>NC_000012.12:43066188-43217703 GCF_000001405.40 Homo sapiens
TACCAGCACTTACATTCTAGCAGAGGTAGGAAACTAAAAACTGGTAAGCAGACAAATAAACAAGATACTTACAAATCATAATACACCAAGCAAGGAAGTTTGTTAGAAAACACCATCTCAGAAAATGACTGATTGAGATGAGATGTTGGTGAACAGCATCTTGACCCTTGGGTCAAGTGACAGTAAAGGACTCAGGATGTACGCATGGAGAAAGCTTTCAGGAAGTGGGACCAGCATGAAATAAAGCTGTGAGGTGAGGAAGAGCTTATTTTAAAAACTAGATGTGGCAATGGGGGAACAGTGTGCCTCAGACACTGAGCAGAGGGCAAATGGCATGAAGTGATGATGGTGAGGGAGGGGATGAGTCCCATGGGCTCTACTCTGAGTGTAATGAGAAGCCTTTGAATGGTTAATCAACTTTGTAACATAATCCAGTTTCCACAATAGGAACTTTTCATGCAATGTGAGGAATGAATTGTGAGGGGAAGAATGGAAGAGGAGACCACAAAGAAGCAGTTGCAAGAGTCCAAGTCGGAAATACTGGCATCAAGGACCTGAATGATAACAGAGGAAATGGGGAGTAGAGGACAAAATGAGATTTGCCTTTGAGGTAGGAAAAATGTTATGTGGTGGTATTCGGACATGGGAGTAAAAGAAAAGAGGAATCAAGGATGACTTAAATACCTGACATAAGCAATGAAGTAGTATATATTTACAGGAATGTGGGAGACAGACAGGTGGGGGAGTGGGTAGCAGCAGGGATGAATAGTTGGATGCAATGGATCTAGGACTCAGAGAAAATGGTTGGGCAGGAGAAGCTGGTGAACGCTTTTGGAGGTGGGGTAGGTCCTATGACTAAGGCTCTTTGACAATTTTTGTATCTTCATCTTAACTCTGACTTTAAGAAAGTGGGTAAGATTATTTAGGGAGAAAGTTGAGAAAGGTGAAAACTCATCTTAAGATGATGTAAAGTTTGATGTTAACACATCTCTGTGCTTTTTATTATTTTTGGTAGGCTGTGGGAAACTGTTCTACAATATGAATAATGAAGAGCTGTGAAATGAAGTATATTTTGATTTAAGCAAGCTGATTACATAACAACTAAAATATAAAAGACAATGGTGGCTGGCGTGGTGGCTCACGCCTGTAATTCCAGCACTTTGAGAGGCTGAGGTGGGTGGATCACCTGAGGTCAGGAGTTTGAGACCAGCCTGGCCAAAGTGGTGAAACCCTGTCTCTAATAAAATTACAAAAATTAGCTGGGTGGTGCACACCCGCAATCCCAGCTACTCAGGAGGCTGAGGCAGGAGAATTGCTTGAACCCAGTAGGTGGAGGTTGCAGTGAACTGAGATCGTGCCGTTGCATTCCAGCCTGGGCAACAAGGGTGAAACTCCATCTCAAAAAAAAAAAATAAAAATAAATAAAAAAAGACAAAGTTAATTAAACACATTACAAAAGGAATTTTTACTTTATACATGTATTCCATAAGCTATTTTCTTTTTTTTAATTTTATTATTATTATACTTTAAGTTTTAGGGTACATGTGCACCTAAATGTCCATATGCTATTTTCTTAAATGTCCAGATATGGAAATGGAAAATAGATTTAACTGGGTATGTCACCTCTAATTGACCAGTAGTGGCTGCTGGAATAAGTGTGGAGAAAAGGCCATGCCTGGGCCTACTGGGTATATTAGTCAGAAGTCAGAGTTCTTCAGAACCAATAGGATATCATTTGTATATGTAAATAATATATAAGTACAAAGAGATTGATTTTAGGGAATTGGCTCATGTGAATGTGGTGCCTGGCAAGTTTGAAATCTTCAGGGCAAGCTGGCAGGCTGGAAATTCAGGTAAAAGTTAATTGCGTGCAGTCTTGAGTCTGAAATCTGCAGGGCAGTCTAGCAGGTGAGAGACTCAGGCAGAGTTTCTATATTGCAGCCTTGAGATAGAAATGCTTCTTTTCCAGAAACCTCATTCTTTGTTCTTAAAGCTTTCAGCTGATTGGATGATACCCACTCATACTATGGAGGGTAATCCGTTTTACTCAAACTGATTTACTGATTGTAGATGTCAATCACATTTAAATACAGTCTTCAGAACATCTTGGGTGTTGTTTTACTAAAACAGCTGGGCACCCTAGTCCAGTCAAGTTGACACACAAGATTTACCATTGCACTGACCAAGAGTATCAACATCTATTGCAATGACTGCTCGTGGTGTATTGATGAGGGGCATTATGCCTTCCATGTGCTTGCAATCCTTATCCTGGTTGTATTTAAATGTTCCTTCGGTATAAGAAAATCTCTTTTATTGGCAAAACTTCAAGAATATTGTAGAAAATGAAATAAGTTATATCTAAAAGATTTTTTTCATTTGAAAGGCAGGAAGAGAAAGACATTGTATCTCATGAAGAGAGTTTTCAATGAACTACACTTCTCTTTGCTGTTGCATTATTTTCTGATGCAGGCATTTTAAATTCTTCTCATCTGATTATATAATCCAAAGTTTCAGCACACATTCACTATACATCCCTCACTCACCCATCTATGCTGTAGAAAGATCTTCAGTGGCAATACTTTTATACCCTTAGAGAAATTGGTGACAGGATTTTTCAGAAACTAACTGTCACTGGTAGTCCCAAAATTAAAATTCAAACTGTCAAAAATATTTAATAATCATTTGGTGGATATTCTTCAGTCTATTATGTTTTGATCTTTTAAGTGAGGTGACACGTTGTAAATTTCTGTTGACTTCATCAGGGTCTCAAATTTGTTGCACTGGAGCTCAAACAATTGTGCTATTGTATCAAAGAATGCCTACAGTTTTACAAAAGGAAGGGGGAATTTTCATTTGTGGAGTGGCTTCAGCTATACATTTTAGTTAGAGAAGATTTGAAAATAAGACTTAAAATAATAACTTGCTATAAAAACATCTTAATACAAGAGCATTCAAAAAATCTCAGAAAAAAACAAATTCTGAGATGCAAAACAATGGTTACCAAAGGAATGATACTTGGATAATATTTGAGTAAAACCAATATCCAACAAGTATTTTCGTTAGAGTGTCCCTTTTGTTCCCCTAGAAAATGTTTTATATTATTGAGTATCATATGTCTCTCTGAATTTCTGTTTTCAAGCACGTTTCCTGCTAGGAACATATGGAAAGGGTAAATGTCTGGAGTAGAATTTGAATGCTGTTATAAACTATGAGAGAGGATCTTGGAGTATTACTGCAGTTGAAACACTTAAAACTATGTCTGCAGTTAGATTTAGACAACCATTTTGCTTATGTTGTACTCTTTTTATAGAATATGAAAAAGAAAGTGTAAAAAGCAGATCTTATAAAATTCTCTTACCTTCCATGTTTACATTTTGATGTTGGTATCAATTTACTCTCCTATAGATGCTTGGTATTATTATTTTTGAAACAGAGAAATTTCACGTGTGTAAAATTACAGAGTGTTCTAGTGGAGGACATTTATGTCAGGAAATGATTTCTATGGAGAACTTTCACTCAGAACCTTAATACTAATTCCTGAACTCCCCTAAGCCTGGGACTTGTGTCTACTGAACAAACTGAAGAGTTGTGATTCTTAGACGGTAGAGGTAAATTTAAGAGTCACGGCCAAAGTAAGGATAGATGTGAGTAATTACTTCAGTAAATCAGGCATAAAATGTGATGTTAGTCTTTGGCTCATTTAGTTTTCAGTTCTCTGTTTTGCTATGATTATAAAGAAGGGGCTTTCCTTTCCTTTAACAATTTTAAATTTTGAACAGGGAAAAAAGTGTGCCAAACCATTGCCTTCCTGTGACCATTCTCATCTCGGAAGCATGGCTGCAGCACAGGGAGTCAGCCAATGTGATTAATCGAGGATTCAGAAGCCAGGGCAGATTGCACAATGAGGTCTGGCTGGCCAGCCTGGGGAGATAGATACTGACTGATATTGATTGCGCATTTTTATCACATGCCAAACCATAGGACAACAGACTTTCAGCAAAGCTCCCAACAAATCTAAAAGTTGGGCTGGTTATTTCTATTTTACAAATAATAGAGATAGTTTGAGTTACTTGCCCAAGACGTCGTAACTCCAGACCTAAGACTGGAATCTGGCTGTTTCCCAAAACTGCTTTGTTTTACTTTTGTTGTTATTTCTGTTACTGAATCCAGTCTTGTACCTTTTGGGCTTGCTTACACACTTCTTAGCGACTTGCTCCATTTAAAAATTTGACAAATTATACTGATCAGTGCTAGGAGATATTTAATATTTCACCAGCTTTTAAAAGCAGATTATTAAAGCATTTGAATTCTTGTGATAGTATCAGCTTATACAGCTGAAATAAATAAGGTACCCAGATAGTGGAGATGGAAGTTCTTTAAATGAGAAACTAGAATGCTCTGAATTGATTTGGTTGTAGTGTAGCCTTAAAATTGGTAGTCACTCAAAATTCAGGGCAGATGGTCTTTAGTGTTTGCGTGTACTCCTGGGCATTTATCAATTAGAATTCAGCAGCATTTGCCTGTTCTCATTAGGTAATTGTATTAAAAATATTCCTTGTCATAGGAAAGAAAAACCTAATTACTTGATCTTAATTAAACCTTGTGTTACAGGTTAACCTCTTGACCAGCCACATATGACATGATAAAAGAAAGGCAAGCCAGAAAATTCATTAAGATGGTTGACAATGACCAGCAAGCAGTCAGGAACTGTGTTTGTTCTTTCTTTGTTTCACTTTTCCCTAATATCAATGATTACAAGTAATGTGAATAGCATTGAAACAATATGTATATTGACGACCACATTTTTTTTCTACTTGTATGTCTTGATTTTGCTGTGCATCCAAAGCTTCCCAAAATGTATTCTTGAAGAAAGCTCTGGTGGCCAACAAATGGGTGCCAACTCATTTCCTTCTTTCTGCTTCCTCCTCACTGGGGGAGAGTGTAAGATTGCATTGATACACAATTACAGCATAACTCACGTTTCCATTTTGATTGAATCAGAAGTAACAATAAACTAAAATCTCTCTGAGACTCTTTTAGTCATTGACACTTTTATATTTTAAAGTTTATTGCCATCGCTGCCAGACTAAATATTTCTCATGAAATGTTTTAAAAGTTTATTATTACACATTTTGTATTAATGTGCCATGGTCACACTTATAATAACTCCAGGACTTGATGTGGTCAGTATTTTTATGACCTTGACTATCTTTAGAAAGATTTGAGGCCCAGAAAAGTTAAGGGAATTTTCCAGTTTCTTTAACAAACCAATATCTAAAACTGTGCCTTTTCATCATTTGAAATGTATACTTTTGTTGGGGGGTGGGGGGCGTCAAATTTGCTAAACCGTATCATTTTTATAACAGTTTCTGTTATTAGTGCATATTCAAATAAACTGAGAGAGAAGCTGATTATAGGAAACTGGGATCCCCCTGCTCCTAAACTGTTCTTCTACATGAAAATACATAGCTTTCTTCCTGTCATGTATTTAGGTTGAAAGTTCCATTCTAATTTCAGCTCTTCTGCAGGTGTGTAGGATTAAAACTGTCCTCCTAAAGAAGTCTTTTCTTGACTGTCTTGTGGAAAGTAGCTTCTTGTCTTCCTGCTCTGGCAATTATTTTATTTATTTATTTTGGCTTGTGATTTGCTCCACAAGAATAAAAGCTCTATCAGGAGAGGGATATGATATCTGCCTTGTTTACCACTGTTCCCTTAGTGATTGTGGTTCAATGCCTGGCACATCGTGGTGCTTAAGAAATACCTAGAGATGAAATGAATGAGTGGATGTATAAATGAATTAATGACCGCGGAAGAAGCAACCAGTAGTAAATTTCACCTGGATCACTTATGAGGGGATCATGGAATATGGAATGTGGAATTCTGTACCCATGGGTTGCGGCAGGCTGAGTGACAAAGACAAACAGCAACAACAAAAATCCAATGGGCAGGTTTGCTACTGCTACTGGAGCTACTTCCATTAATTAAACTTGTACCATATGCTAGATGCTGTGCTTCATGTTTCAATTTTATTTTCTTCAGTCCTCTCTACAACTCTTTAAAGATCAGAACAGACCACATGAAGGAGGTGATGTCTGAATAGGCGAGAAGGCAGAGAGGATAAAGGAGGAGCACAGATTTGAGCTGTTATGCAGGTAGTTCAGGCGTAAGTTATGTGATTAGCATTTGGCAGATTTACTTTCATTGTGTGTTTCCTAGACAGTGGAGAAATAGTCCTCTTTATCTTTTTGCTATTTTGATTTTGGACCCTCAGGGAATAAAAGGTACAAACTAATCATTCTATGGTGAATGTCTCTGCACAGAGCTAACCTGGTACCATTTGCCCTTGTCAGTGGTATTGGGTGATGACACTCGAGTGCACAGTTTAATTGGCAGAAGGAAGAGGCAGGCCAGTTACATCTATGCAAGTCTACCAAGTGAGCCATGAAAATTGCAAATTGTGCCAATCAGTTGGCAGTCTTGCTTGGTGTGTAGTATTAGTCAATGCCATAAGAATCAGAGAGCAGGGAGGTCATTCAAAAGAGTGAAATGCATGCAACTCACAGCCAAAAGCCATTGCAAACAATCACATTAGAAAAAGATTCACCATCTCCCTTCCCTCTTCCTCTCAGACACCACAATGTATGAGGGCAGGAGAAAATTCAGATATAAATTGCTTCTGCTGAGGAGTGACTCTGCATAGATGGGTTTTTGAAATGCCAGATAGGGTGACTCTCTCCTTTTGATCATATGAGGAACCGTAAGAACCAGCCAGGCCTCAAGTGGAATTCTGACACTTCAAATACATTAATACATTTTGTTCATTAGGCAATTTAAAGATCAGAGACATATATCAATTGTATTTTGTTCTTGGCTGGTCATTTTTGTTTGGAAGCAGCAGATTAATAGGCACTTTCTATATCCTGAGCTAACTTATCTATAATTCTCTGCACTTATTAGACTGAAGAAAAGTTGCTTATAAAAGCAAGGCTAAGGGATATGTAACATTTCATCTTGCTGTCAAAACCTATCATTTAAATAAGTTGAAACTTCTAAAACATTGAAATGAAAGCAGTCTTCAAGTGAATAGAAATGATTTAAAAAATATAAAGGAGAGAGACAGAAAAAGAAAGAGGGAAATAAAAGTACATATATGGTAGGCAAAGAAGACCTGCCTGGTTGGAATTTGTTTGGAATGACATGTTAGATGGCATGCCCTGAGGCTCACTTAAGCTCTGGGGGGTCAGGGAGTAATCATCTATTATCTTTTGCCCTTTAAAATGTTGATTAGCAAATATTTTCCCTTTTTGACCTATCAAATCCGTTCCTGGGACTTTAACTTAAGGCTTGTGGACAAATAATAATAATAATCTGCATACAAGGTTGTACAGCCAGACTTCATCATTAACTTTGAACACTTGGAGGTAATCTACTCTCATTGACTTCTCAGCACCTCTGCACATGGTTGCCCATTCCACACATCTTGAATCACTCATTTTCCATAACATGTCCCTTTATTGGTTCTCCATGTGCTATCTAGCTTATGACTCTCTTTCTATCTCCTTTGCTGACCCAGCCACAGAAATATTTGTCCTAAGGCCTCTCCTCTTCCACTTTATGCTCCCTCCTTAGGCCAGCTCATCCCCAACCATGGTGTCAATTGTCTCATCTAACACCTCTGCACACTTTGACACCTCCAGCTCTGCGTTCCCAACCCATATGTTCAATTGTCTGCTTGACATCACATCTTGGAAGTCTCAAAGCCTTTTCAAAATTGCTACATCCAGAAGTAAACATGCTCTCCCCAACTCCTGGTGTGGTTTTGTTCCTGTATTCCTCCCTCTGTTACTGAAGGTACCAGCAATACCAAGTTGGGCAAGCTAGAAATCCAGGAGTCACCCTTGACATCTCCCTCCCTTGGCCCCTATATCTAACCATTAATGAAGTCTTCTCAGTGTTACTTCCTATTCATTCTCAAAGCTGTCCACATGTTTCCATCTCCAAGACTTCACAATAATCTGACCACTGTAATAGCCTCCTAACTCAGCCACTGGCAACAGATATATCCCCAGTTTACACTGTGCTCTACATCATTACAGAGGGAGCTTGCACTCCCTCCAAAAGCTCCCTCCAAAGGGATCTCACATCCAGATAGAGCTTTTCTTTTTTTTCTTTTTTCTTTTCTTTTTTTTTTTTTTTTTTTTGAGATGGGGTCTCACTCTGTTTCCCAGCCTGGAGTACAGCGGTGCCATCTCGGCTCACTGCAAGCTCCAGCTCCTGGACTCAAGTGATCCTCCCAACTCAGCCTCCCGAGTAGCTGGAACTACAGGCACACACCACCGAACTTGGCTAATTTTTGTGTTTTTTGTAGAGATGGGTTTTGCCATCTTGCCTAGATTGGTCTCAAACTCCTGGGCTCAAGCAATCCACCCACCTCAGCCTCCCAAAGTGCTGGGATTATAGGCGTAAGCCACTGCACCTGGCCCAGAGAGAGCTTTTCAAACACAGATCTGATTTTACTTAAAACCCTTCAGTAGCTTCCCATTGTGTATAGGAAACCATTTTAATAAGATTAGTTCTAACCTCAGAGTTAGAAGATTTCTGCCAACACTTTAGATTTCAAAAACCTTAGAGAAGAAAATGGTGATTTGATATATTCTTGATCTAAAAAATTTTGTATTGATACAGTGTAAAATATTGCGTTAAAAAATAACATGGTAACCTTAGAACATACCGTGTCTATTTCAACTTTCTGAAGAAAATCAGTCACACAAAATCAAAGTCATTTTTAGCTTGGTTATATTTGAAGCTATAATAAAGCTTGTTATAACTCATTGTATTTCTCTCACTTTGAAAAAATAAATCAGGCAGCACAATCATGTTTAATTGGAAATGATACTTTATTCTTCTGTTTCTATCTTTGCATATAAATTATTTTGTTTCAAATAATATATCAGATGAAAATCCATGACAGGAATTGATTTGTCTTTAGCAGAAAAACAAACAAAAAACTCTCTGACTCTGGCTTTTGTTTTTATTTCTAGCACAAGTTTCACTATTCCTAGTGAGATTTGAGTTGCTTTGGATGTTTATCTAATGAGCCTGGGTGGGATTACACTATCCCATACAGCGCCTTTGTGAGGGGTAAAGAAGGGGACCCCTTCTCCATCAGGACAGGCAGATGTGGAATAGCACAAACCATTGAACCAGGTTTGCTACCACTCTTGCTCTTTGGCCTGGCATTCACAGAGAAGCACTCATCCATTTGAAACTGATGGTTTTGTTCTAGTCATTGTTTTGTTTCTCTAGAAATATGGAATCTTGCTGTTTGCTGGCAATCTTGTCACCTGTGA
Organism: Homo sapiens; assembly: GCF_000001405.40. Lineage (NCBI taxonomy): Eukaryota > Metazoa > Chordata > Mammalia > Primates > Hominidae > Homo > Homo sapiens. Next base: position 43,075,539 of record NC_000012.12, read on the forward strand.
ATATTTGAATCAATCATTTACCTCTAGCAGCATCAGCAATTTGACATTCCCAGGCATAAAAAATCAATTTTGTATCATCTTGAATTTGGAGAAAATTATGCTTCCTTAAGGATGGAGAAAAACTATGTATGAACATTTTCAGACTTTTTGAGACAGGCACACTCACTAGTCTCTTACAGGGAAAATAACTTGAACCCTGTCTATGACTCGATTTCTGACATAGTAAACGTACCTGGTAGGTGGAGGCTGGATTACAGGGAATGATGATGAGACCATTGAGGGTGAATTTTCAAAAGGAGAAAAGGCACATTTGACACCAGAGGCTGTATGGGATGAGACAACAATTTGAACCTGAAGCTGATAGCATAACCACCTTGGCACAGGTCGGGGGAAAATAATGTCATGTGTGTGAATTGACTATGGTGCTTTACTAAACTCTTGACTTTGGGGCCTAAGCTTCCCAACAGTGGGACTCCCTCTAACTGCACATCACATGGAGGAAAGATTGTTGCTTTCACTCACTTTTAGGTGGCACCATAGGCAACTCTACAGCACTGACGCTGTGGAAGTCTCAATGACGGTGACTCAGGCCAATTGGCAAGCCTTGGCTGGGCTGGGAGTATTAACTCTGCAAGATGCCAGATGCCAGGTAGGAATAAAACTAGTAAATCCCAGTTCTCTCTCTATGGTAGATGGTGATTTGATACTGAGGGACCCCTCTTTGTGTAACAGAGTAGCTTAGCTTTAAAATGCATTTTGGACTTTTCTTCTCTAATCTCAGAATGTAGCCTTAAACTGTGCTTTGAAACTTTGTTTCCCTCTCTTTCCCAGCAGACACTCCCATGCACTGTGCTAGCTTATCTAATTATGAGCTTGCTTAGAAATCCCAGGGACTAATCTTGAATCAAACCAGGCATGGAGACCCAGCTCAAGGCGGGTAATCTACAAACTAGTCATTGTCGAGACGGTGCCAGCCTGCACTCCAGGTGGACAATATCTCCAGATAGCCATCATAACAAGGCATGCAGACCTGTATCCTGCACCACTCTTACACGTTTCCTATGCCAAGTTTCCTTTTTTAAGCCCCTTCACTCAGCCTAAAAATTTGAGATTGTTTCTTTGCTGCTTGAGGCTGGCCATCTCCTCAACTACTGGCATTTAAATAAAGCTGCTTTCCTTTCACCATACCTCACCTGTTATGTATTCAGTGTTTTGAGTGGTGAGCAGCCAAACATGAATTTGGTTATACTAGGGGTTTGATATGTGTTGCTAGAGATTCCTGACTTAACAATGACAACCAGCTGTGCCCAAGAAAATTTTATGGATGTACATTAGACGTTTTGTGAGCCCTCCCAAAACTTGAGGATGCACATGTTATAAGAGGCTGAAAATCTATGCAATACTCAACAGTAAGAGAATGAACAACTTGATTAAAAAAAATAGGCCAAGGATCTGAACAGATACCTTACCAAAGAAGATGTACAGATGTCAAATAAGTACATGAAAAAGTAGCTTAATATTATATGATATTGAGCAAGTTTCTTAGAAAACTAAGCACATCATACAACTCAGCAACCATGTTGTTTGAAATGAGTTGAAAACTTTTGTCCACAAAAACACTTGCACACCAATATTTACAGCAGCTTTATTCATAATTGCCAAAACTTGGAAGCAAACAAGCTGTCTGTCTTCACTAAGTGAGCAGATAAATTGTGGTACATCCAGAAAGTGGAATGTTATTCAGCACTGAAAATAAGGCACTATCAAGCCATGAAAAGACATGAAGGAACCTTAAAAGTTTGTTATTATAGTAAGTGAAAGAAGCCAATCTAGAAGGCTACATTCTATATGACTCCATCTGTGTGACATTCTGGGAAAGGCAAAACTCTGGGGACAGCAGAAAGATCAGAGGTTGCCAGAGGTTAGGAAGGAGGGTAGTTGAATATGCGGAGCATATTCACAGAAAATTTTTAGGGCAGTGAAACTATTCTGTGTGGTACTCTAATGGTGAATACACGGAATTACACCTTTGTCAAAACCCATACATGTACAGCACCAAGAGTAAACCCTAATATAAGTATGAGCTTTGGGTGATAATGATGTACGAATGTTTATCATTTATAACAAATGTACCACTCTGGTGGGGGGCATTGATATTTGGGGAGGCTGTGCCTGTGTTGGGGTAAGAGGCACATGGGAACTCTCAGTGCTTTCTTCTCAATATTGATCTGAACATAAAACTGCTCTAAAGAATAAAGTGGCTTTTAAAAAATGGATAAGGTTTAAAAAATATCTATGGGCACAGCTAGGATATTGCAGTTTGCAAGGATTAGGTATTCATTAATTACCAAATACATATTAATGGCCTCACACAAATGGGGGAAGTCTGAACATGCTAACAACATCCTCTTCCTTCTTGTGACTTCCTCCCTCATCTAATCACTGCTTCTCTGAGGTATACTCCCATATCAAAATGTTATTTTGCTCTCATAAATGAAAATATACTTTTGAGAGAAGTCTGATAGGATTATGGTTGAGGGTTCTGAAAGAATTTCACCCAGGTAATAAAATTTCATTCCAAAGATCCAAACGTCTAAATCCAAACACAAGACAAACGGGGCCTTCATGGATGGGAAACCCTGACGTGAACCTTGAAAAGTTCAGTTCCTGGGTTACTTGGTGGGATATTCTCACCAATTATGGTGACTCTATCTCCATAAATTGGAGAGACTTTCAAGGCCTGGTTGCCTTGGCTCCATGGAACTCAGAGATTAGTACTATATATTTGCTGTATTAATTCATGAAGTTCTTGTTTTGCCTGAGATTTCTTTGAAGCGGAGTGGACTTGGTGAGGTGAGAAAATTTGTTGTCCCTTTTCCAACCAATCCTTGTTCTTATTTCCAACTACATGACTTACAAATAGTGTTTCCCTTCCTCTATAAATTCTTCCTTACAGGTTGATTGTTGCCATGGAGAACCACTTTTGTCTTTTGGGCAGGCTTTGAGAAAGAGAATGTTCATGAGATGTTCAAGTGAAATACCAGGAAGTATGATTTTTCTACCCTGTTAGATTGACTTGGGTTTCTGGGAAATAATACAACAAATTATTGGAAAATGTATTACAACCAAAATGTGAGATTTTGAATATTGAGAAGGAAGAAGATGAGTGAATGAGTGCTACCTTTTGGAAACTACACAATGCTTGATTTGGGAATTGTGATGTTCAGCTCTTTAAATTAATTTGGATATCAAATTATCAGTATATATTGTTAAATAACTGCATTCCTTACATTTTCATGAACTCTTTAAATATTTATCAATTTAGTAGTTTTCAAGTATACTAGGATGTCTTTCTCAATCTTTTTTTATGTCTGCTTTCCTTTTAAGTGTTTAGAAATCACACTTCAGTCTGTTGAAAATATATATACTTCCAGCAGTAGCATTTATTAAAACTGCTTCGGGGACTGCTTTCTGGACACCAGGCAACATTCAGTGTCATAATAAAAGCCTAACTCTGCCCAAAATACAGTGATTAATATAGTTTTTTTTTCCTTAGCTACTGAATGATTCATCAACTATTTATTGGGCTTCAGAAAGACGTTCATAAAGATGGAAAATAACAATTAGAACCCCCCGAGTGTTATTAATTTCCACCCAACTCTCTTGAACACATTACCTTTCATTACCATAATGAAAATTATTCCTACACAGTATGTCTCTCTGTGATCTGTGTGAATGCACACACTTACAAACACAATTATCTTTTCTAAGTAATAGTCTCATGTTATGCTTTTATTCTATTATTATTCTCAAAAATAGAACTGAGAGCAGGAAGTTTCCAATTCTGAATTTGTTTTTCCACACAACCATTCATAAGCCTGTTTCAGTAGATGTTGTTTGTATTTAATTATTACTGAGTCTTCATTTCCTGTGGAAAATATCAAATAAATATTACAAACATTTCTTCAGGTTACATTATTTTAATTTCCTTATGTTTGAATTAAATCTTTGTAAAACATAACCTTTCCAACATAATTTCTAGTGGGAAACATTCATAATTTCAGTGCTGTGAGATCCATATAAAATGTTCTTCCTATAATGTTTCCCTGATGTAATGTTTATCCTTTGGAGAGCCATTCTCATGCATACACTTAGCACTTCCTTCTATTGTCATGCTTAAAATATTTGATTCTCTGTCTTATCTGGAAAACATAATGGGAAGGTTTCACCTTAGTATAATTCTTTTGTTCAACAGAAATAAAAATTTCCTAATATCTTGTGTTCATGAGATGAGTACAGAGAGCAACATTCTTGAACTTAGAATATTTATTACTAATGTTTTATTTGAAGTTCCTGTTATTAATACATAAAACATGTAGATATTTGGTTACTTTCAACTATGATAAGAGTATTTTAATACAATAATCTATAATAATCTAAATAGATAATCTATTTAGAGAGAAGAATCAGGTCAATTGACTTTGTGTTTAGTTTCAAGTTTTCCCCATTCAAGTTTGTAGAAGTAGTTTAAGATAATATTAGTGTCTTGGTGTGATTTGAAGTCATTCTGCATACAAATTATCTGCGGTTCTTGTTAAACATGCAGATCCTGGGATGCAACACTCAACTGAAATAGCTCTCATCCAGTTCCATGGTGATTCTTGTCTTGTCAAACGTAATTATCATTTGACTGCTCACCAGCACTTGCCACAGTGGGTCAATTTGTCCTCTTAACACTTTCTTCTCAGGCATTTGTGAAGGGGACTCTCTTCTACCTTACAGCAATGCTCAGTCTCCTAATTTAGTTTTTCCTTTTCTGAGAATCAGCTGTTGTTAATAAGCATTCCACATAATTTCTCCCTCATTCATGATCTGGCATAATGAACCCTGTGATTCCTTTGTTATCTCAATCACTTATTATGAAGATATTTTGCCCTGTAGTTGAGATGATTTATCATTAATACATTTCATTCTTCCATTGAAAATCTATTATGTTCAAACATTCAAAGAAGCATAATGCACAGTCACTGATCTTTAAGAGAAAGACCCATATGAAAAGTTAAATGATAAAAGGGATAATGAAAGTAAAAGCTATGAATTTATAGAAAAAAATGAGTTTTTGTAAATTTCTTGGAAAAAGTAGGGATTAAATTAGGCAGTGATAGATGGCCATGCTTTAATAAGGTGAGCTATAGATCTAGTTTCTGTTTTACAACTACGAGGTCATAATGGCAAATTAAATCTCAGCTGTCAGATTTAGTCTAGAAGTCAAAGCTGTATTATATTTTAATTTATAACTATTGAGTGAGTAGGTAAGATTAGACCTAAAGAGTACATTAAATCTAGGAATGTACTAGATGTCTAGATGTGAATTGCTTTTAAGGGGGACTATTGTTCATAAGTAAAATTTACATAAATTTGTCAATTTAGGAAAATAAAAAGTTCTAAACAAACTGCAAAAAAAAAAAAAATTAAGGAAAACCAGGTAGCTAAACTTCGAAGCCATTAACAATTTAACAAAGGCGAATAGAGATTTCACCCACCAAAGAGACCAATGTATTACAGATATGATTGATATATTATGTAACTGTCACAGCAAAGGAGGTTGGATAGCTCCACAGGGTTGTTTCTGAGTCTTTAATCTTATTATATTAATCACAAATAATGTTTCCTTATGAAGTAGATCGTGTTACATTTATTATAATTATGATGGCTGCCTCTATTGTCTAGCAGTACAACAGAAAAAAATGAGTGAGAATGTAAAAAGAAGGGGAGAAAATTATGGAGCAGAAAGGTTGGTAGGCTTAAAAATCATCACCCATCTTTTCAAGAAACAATATTCACTTGAGCAAATACACAATCTTGACAGTGAAAGATTTCTTACATTTATACAAAAAACATTTTTGGTTACTATTCTATATACAGAAGGTAAACACGTCAATGTTCCTAAGATGCTCTGCAGATGCAACTATAAATTAGACCTAGATTCTGCCTCAGTGATCTTATGTCTAGTAGTGGAAACCTGTCAAGAATATGGGTATTTACGACGCACTAATGGTTCAGTTAAACACTATAGGAGTTCTGAGGAGGAAAGTTATCTTCCTCGTAGTTTTATATTGGCAGGAAATATGTGCCCTTTTCAGTGTATCCACATGGTTAAGTCTCTTCAAATTCCAAAACAAAATGATATTTTGCAACAAAAACTTAGTCTTCTTTTTTTTAAAAAAATTTGTTTTTGCAACAAAAGCAATAGTAAATCCCTTACATTAAATCTGTGTCTCCTTCTAGGTATTTCTTTATATCGTTTCTCCTCTGCTGATGCAAAGTTCTTACGAGAAAGTGTCTTAGTCTACTTTGTGCTACTATAAGAGGATACCACAGGCTGGGTAATTTATAAGGAATAGAGATTTATTTCTTACAGTCCTAGAGGCTGGGAAGTCCAAGAAGGGGCTGGCATGTGGTCAGGGTCTTCTTGCTGCATCATCCCTCGTGGAAGGCAGAAAGGTCTTGAGAGCATGACAAAGTATTGCGGGCAAACTCAATTTTATAGCAAATCTACTCCCATGATAATGACATTAATTCATTCACGAGGGCAGAACCCTCATGACCTAATTACCTCCTAAAAGTCCCACCTCTCAACACATTGGGAATTAAGTTCCCAATACATGAACTTTGGGGAATACATTTAAACTATGGCAGAAAGAGTCTTTAGTTCCTTTTTCCACATCCGTATTTAAATCCTGTCCACTCTACTACCCTCTGCAAACTGGCTATCACATCCCTCATTTCACTTTATATGTTATCAATTCCAAATACAATAAAGTATTTTGAACCCCTTTATTAACATACATATCTGCATTTAGCTCTCGGTTTTTTTTTTTTTTTTTCTTAATTGAAACTGTTTCTTCCCCTGGCATCCTAGATTTTGCCCTCTGGCTGATCAATTCCTTCTAAGTCTTCTTCCCATGGTTCTCATTCTCAGCCAGTCCCTTAAATGTTGGTATGATCTAGGGATTCTTCTTTGGCCCTTTCAATTCTTTCTCTCATCACATTACTCCTGGCTGAAATCCTCCATTCTTATGTTTTTTTCTACAAATAATGTATGTTTCCTACAAAATATTCATATTCTGTCTGTCATAATGTAGAAAGACTTCCCAACCAAGGACTGTATTTCCAAGACAAAGCTCTCTTGGATCCAGAAGAGAAAACAAGAATAATTTATAACAATGTAATATAATGAGAAATGACCAGTCACTTCTGGGCCAAGGGACTTTTAAACAAACTCTTATGACTTTCCCCATCTGTTTGAGAAAGTGGAACCACACAATGAAAGTAGACTGGGATCTATAATTCTCATGTGACTAAACACCAACCAGGAATCCTCATAATTGACTAGTATGTGAATCAAAAATAAATTTCCATTAAGCCACTGAGATTTGAGGATTTATTTATAACAGTGCCTACTATTCTAAAATAGAAATTGGTGACTTAAGTGGTATGGTGTAATTTTAAAAAACTTGAAATAGGATTAGTAGTATTATCTGTTCATTGTTACTGAGTTTAATATGACATGAGAAGAATGAAATGAAGGCAGACTACAGAGAACCATTTCTTAAGCAATGAATGACGAGAGAGAGAGAGAGCAAGAGAGAGAGAGAAAGATAATGCTAGCTCTGAAATATGGAGCCTTTCAAGGTAAGAAAACTTTACTACTTCTAGAACCAAATCAATAAAAAAAAGACCTAAAAAGGCTTTGAGAATATATAATACAAAGGCACAACCCATGAAAGAAATAATTGATATGCTGGACTTCAAAATAAAACAGTTGAGTTTTTGGAAACCACTGTTAAGAGAATGAGAAAACAACTACAGACTTAGAAAATATTTGCAAAAGACCGATACAAAAAAGGACTTTTATCCCAAATATAAAAGGAACACTTAAAACCCAACACTATGTAAATAAATAACCTGATTTAAAAATGGGCAAAAGAACAGGCACCTCACCAAAGAAAATACATAGATGGCAAATAAGCATATGAAAAGATGCTCAACATCATACATTATTAAGGAACTGCAAATTAAATCAATGAGACACCTCTAGACACCTATCAGAATGAAGAAAACCCAAAATACTGACAACATCAAATGCTGGCAAGGATGTGAAACAATAAGAACTCTTATTCACTGCTGGCAGGAATGAAAAATAGCACAGAAACTTTGGAAGACAATTTGACACTTTCTTATTAAACTAAACACACCATACAATTCAGCAATCATGCTCCTTGAAATGAGTTGAAAACTTATGCCCACAAAAACATGTACACACAGATGTTAGCACAGCTTTATTCATAATTGCCAAAACTGGGAAGCAATCAGGATGTCTGTTCTTCACTAGGTGAGTGGATAAATAAACTGTGATGCATTGAGACAATGGAATATTATTCACCACTGAAAATAAATGCTATCAAGTCATGAAAACACATGGAGGCTAAAAAGCACATTAGTCAATGAAAGACATCAATCTAGAAGGCTACTGATATGGTTTGGCTGTGTCCCCACGCAAATCTCATCTTGAATTGAAGTTCCCATAATTCTCACATGTTGTGGGAGGGACCTGTTGGGAGGTAATTGAATCATGGGGACAGGTTTTTCCCATGCTGTTCTTGTGATAGTGAATGAGTCTCACAAGATCTGATGGTTTTATAAAGGGCGGTTCCCTTGCACACGTTGTCTTTCCTGCTGCCGTGTAAGATGTGACTTTGCTCCTCCTTCACCTTCCACCATGATTGTGCGGCCTGCCAGCAATGTGGAACTGTGAGTCCATTAAAGCTTTTTTTTCTTTATAAATTACCCATTCTCAGGTATGTCTTTATTAGCAGCATGAGAAAGGACTAATATAGTAAATAGGTACCAGTAGAGTGGGGTACTGCTATTAAGATACCTGAAAACATGGAAGCAATTTTGGAACTGGGTAACAGGCAGAAGTTGGAACTGTTTGGAGGTCTCAGAAGAAGATGGGAAGATGTGGAAAGGTTTGGAGCTTCCTAGAGACTAGTTGAATGGTTTCAACAAAAAGTGCAGGCTGAGCAGGGTGTCAGATAGAGATGAGGAACTTATTGGTAACTGGAGCAAAGGTGATTCTTGCTATGCTTTAGCAAAGAGATGGACGGCATTTTGCCTCTGCCCTAGAGATCTGTGAAATTTTGAACTTGAGAGAGATGATTTAGGGTATCTGGCAGAAGAAATTTCTAGGCAGCAAAGCATTCAAAAGGTGACTTGTGTGCTCTTAAAAGCACTTATTCAGTTTTATTCATTAACAAATATATGGTTTGGAATTGGAACTTACATTTAAAAGGGAAGCAGAGCGTAAAAGTTTAGAAAATTTGCAGTCTGACAATGCAATAGAAAAGAAAAACCCATTTTCTGAGGAAAACTTCAAGCAGGCTGCAGAAATTTGCATAAGTAACAAGAAGTCAAATGTTAATCACCAAAATGATGAGGAAAATGTCTCCAGGGCATGTCAGAGACTTTCACAGCAGCCCCTCCCATCACAGGCCAGAGGCCTAGGAAGAAAAAATGGTTTTGTAGGCTAGGCCCAGGGCCCCCTTGCTGTGTGCAGCCTAGGGACTTGGTGCCTTGGATTCTCAGCCACTCCAGCTGTGGCTAAAAGGAGCCAAGGTGTAGCTCAGTCCATTGCTTCAGAGGGTGCAAGCCCCACACCTCAGCAATTTACACATGCTATTGGGCCTGCATGTTTACAGAAGTCAAGAATTGATGTTTGGAAACCTCTGCCTAGATTTCAGATGATGTATGGAAATGTCTAGATGTCCAGGCAGAAGTTTGTTGCAGGGGTGGGGCCCTCATGGAGAACCTCAGCTAGGGCAGTGTGGAAGGGAAAAGTGGGGTGGGAGCCCCCACAGAGTCCCCACTGGAGTACTGCCTATTGGAGCTGTGAGAGGAAGGCCACTGTCCTCCAGACCCCAGAATGGTAGATCCACCAACAGCTTGTGAAGTCAACCAGGAAGGGAGCTGTACCCTCCAAAGCCACAGGGGCAGAGCTGGCCAAGATCATGGGAACCCACATCTTACATCAGTGTGACCTGGATATGATACCTGAAGTCCAAGGAGATCATTTTGAAGCTTTAACATTTGACTGCCTTCCTGGATTTTAGACTTGCTTGGTGCCTGTAGACCCTTTGTTTTGGCCAATTTCTCCCTTTTGGAATGGGCATATTTACCCAATGCCTGTACCCCCATTGTATCTAGGAAGTAACTAACTTGCTTTTTATTTTACAGGTTCATAGGCCAAAGGGATTTGCCTTGTCTCAGATGAGACTTTGGATTGTGGACTTCTGAGTTAATGCTGAAATAAGTTAAGATTTTGGGGGACTGTTGGGAAGGCATAACTAATTTTGAAATGTAGGACATGTGACTTGGGAGGGGCCGGGGCAGAATGATATTTTTTGTCTGTGTCCCTACCCATAACTCATCTTGAATTGTAATTCCCATGATCCCCACATGTCATGGGAAGGACCTGGTGGGAGGTAATTGAATCACGGGGGTGGGATTTTCCCATGCTTGTCTCATGATAGTGAATAAGTCTCACAAGGTCTGATGGTTTTAAAGGGGCAGTTCCCCTGCACATGCTCTCTTGCCTGCTGCCATGTAAGATGTCCCTTTGCTCCTTTTTTGCCTTCTGCCATAATTGTGAGGTCTCCCCAGTCACATGGAACTGAGTCCATTAAAGCTTTTTTTCTTTATAAATTACCCAGTATCAGGTATTTCTTCATAGCAATGTGAAAATGGACTAATTCAACTACATACTGTATGATTCCAACTATATGACATTCTGGAAAAGGTAAAAACAACAAAACAACAACAATGGAGAGAATAAAAAGATCAGAGAATATCAGATGTTAGGAAGAAGGGTGGGAGGAATAGGTGGAGCACAGAAGAGTTTTAGGGCAGTGAAACTACTCTGTGTGATACTGTTGTGGTGGAAACATGGCATCACACCTTTGTCAAAACCCATAAAGGTACACCAAGAGCAAATCCCAATGTAAAGTGTGGACTTTGAGTGATAATGATATATGAATGTAGCTTTCATCAATTGTAACAAATGTATCATTCTGGTGGTGGGTGTTGATAGTTAGGGAGGCTGTGCATGTGTGGGTGTAGGGGTTATTGGGAAACTGTACTTCTCAATGTTGCTGTCAGCCTAAAACTGCTCTAAAATAGTCTTAAAATGATTATAAATAAAACTAGTCATGATTTAAAGAGAAAGCCTCTGAGGGACATAGTCCTATTAAAACTTTTTAGTAAAATAAAGAAACTCAGCATTACAGTCATTGCCTTCGCACCTGTTCCTGCAGTTTAGATGGCCTCAAAATACCTACCTTTAAAGTCAAGAAAAATTGTGATAAGGGCAAAGGAAGCACGGAAATGAAGAAGGCAGGATAGGATATGTCTAGAAAAAAATGTTTGGGTATAACTATTGCTACAATTAAACGGTTGTGAGACAAATAATAATATATATATTTTTTAATTTTGGGAGGAATTAGGGTGTCAAAATAACCAAATCTTGTTACTGTGAGATTATTATTGTACCACCAAACAGTCACCAGAAGGAAGAAGCTGCTAAAGCTGTGCAGCCACTAAAAGGAGATATATTCCAAAAATGTATTTCAGATATGACCATGGAGGACAAATGACATGAAAAAAATCTCCCCAAGGTTGAGTCAGGAACCGTAAGAACAATATAGATCCCTCTTATTTATCTCAGCTTCCATGACCTAATGTAATGGGCCTCTTCCTCTAATTACCCTAAAAATCTCCTGACTGGTATGCTGGCTCCTAACCTAGCCTACTTGTCTTAAATACTTTCTTCACAAAGCTGATTAATGATCTATCTAAAACATTGGCCATATTACAGAATTCTACTGCCTAGAACTTTTTTTTACAACTTTTAAAATTGTATTAAAATATATGTACATAAAATTCACTATCATAACCATTTTTAAGTGCATAATTCAGTGGTATTAAATCAATATATGCATAATGTGCAATCATCACCACTCATCTCCATAACTCTGCATTTTGTAAACTGATCCTCCGTAGCCATTAAAAAATAACTTCCCATTTCCTATCTACCCAGCCCCTTACAACCACCATTCTCTTGTCTATGTATAATTTTGACTATTCTAAGTATCTCATAAAAGTGGAATCATACAGTATTTGTCTTCTTTTGACTAGGTTATTTCACCTAACATAATGTCCCCAAGTTTCATCCATGTGGTAGCATATGTTGGAATATCCTTTATTTTTAAGGCTGACTGGTATGTCATTGTATGTGTATACTGCATTTCGCTTATCCACTCATCTGTCAATGGACATTGTAATTGCTTCCATATTTTGGCTATTGTGAATAATGCTACTATGAACATGGGTGCATAAATATCTCTTTGAAATCCTATTTTAAATTCTTTTGGACAGATACTCAGAAGTGAAACCACTGGATCTTATGGCTATTCTATTTTTAATGTTTTGGGGAACTGACATACTCTTTTCTACAGTGGCTGTACTATTTTAAATTCCCACCAACAGTGTGCAAACATTCTAAGTTCTTCACACTTTCACCAACAGTTGTTATTTTTGCTCTCTCTTTCTCTCTTTTTTGATAGTGGTTATCCTAATGAGTGTTACATGATATTGCATTGTTGTTTTGATTTGCATTGATTATTAGTGATGTTCCACATCTTTTCATGTGCTTATTGGCCATTTGTATATCTACTTTGGAGATATATCATATTCTTTGCTCATTTATTAATCAGATTTTTGTTGTTGTTGAATTTTAAGAAGTTTCCATATAGTGTAGATATTAATTGCTCATCCCAATTGATTCATCTATCTGATACTGTTGTCAGATATATGATTTGCAAATACTTTATCTGATTCTACATGCTGCCTCTTTACTCTGTTGATATTGTCTTTCAATGAACAAGATTTTTTTTTATTTTTATGAAGTCCAGTTTATTTATTTTTTATTTTGTTGCCTGTGCCTTTGGTGGGATATTCAAGAGACCATTGCCAAATTCACTGTAATAAAGCTTTTGCCCTTGGTTTTCTTCTAAGACTTTTATATAATGTTAAGTCTCCCAATCCATGAACATGGGATGTGTTTTTATTTATTTGTGTCTTCAATTTATTTCATCAATATTTTGTTTTCATTGCACAAGTCTTTCACCTTCTTGGTTAAGTTAATTCCTAAGTATTTTATTCTTTTTTTATGCTATTGTAAATTGAATTATTTTTGTAATTTCCCTTTCAGGTAGTTTGTCATTGGCATACAGAAAGGCAACTGATTTGGGGTGTTGATTTTGAATCTTGCTACTTGCCTGAATTCATTTAGTTTCTTTGTGGAATTTTTAGAGTTATCTACATGTAAGATTACATAATTTGTGAACAGAAACAATTTCACTTTTTCTTTTCCAATTTAAATGCCTCTTGTTTAATTGCCTACTTGCTGTGGTTAGAACTTTGAGTAAGTAGGGAAGGTGGGCATCCTTGCCTTGTTCCTATCTTAGAGTAAAAGCTTTCCATCTTTCACTATTGAGTATGATGTTCTCTGTGGGTTTTTGATATATGGGTTTTATTATGTTGAGATACTTTCCTTTTATTTATAGATTGTTGAGTGTTTTTATCATGAAAAGGTATTGAATTTTGTCAAATTTTTTTCTGAGTCAATTGATATAAGCCTGTGTTTTTGTCCTTCATTCTGTTATTGTGATGTATTACATTGATCAATTTTGCTATGTTGAACCATCTTTGCATTCCAGGAATAAACTGCACTTAATTGTGATAAATTATTCTTTTAATATGCTACTAAATTCAGTTTGCTATTATTTTATTAAAAATCTTCACATCCATGTTCATAAGGAACTTTGTTCTGTAGTTTTCTTTTTTTTTGTAGTATCTTTAGCTTTGGCATCAGCTTGATAATGACTTCGCAGAGTGAGTTAGGGAGTTCCTCTTAAATTTTTTTGAAAAGTTTGAGAATTAGTATTTTTTTTACTCTTCTGTAGAATTCATCAGTGAAGACATCAGGTCCAGAGATTTTCTTCACTGGGAGATTTTTAATTGTTAATGTAATCTTCTTATTAGTCATATTTTCTAGGTGTATTCAGATTTTCTATTCCTTTGTGATTTATTCTTGGTAAGTTTTGTATTTCTAATAATTTGTCTATTTTATGTAGGTTATCTAATTTAATGGAGAACAATTGTTCTAGTATTCCTTATAATTTTTTATTTTTGGAGAATCAGTAGTGATATGCTCACTTTCATTTATGACTTTCAAAGTTTGCATCTTCTCTCTTTTTTCTTGATTAATTTAGCTTAAAGATTTGTCAATTTTGTCTACCTTTTCAAAGAACCAAATTTTGTTTTTTCTCTATTGTTTTTTCTCTTACCTATTTTGTTAAATCTGTGATCTAGTATTTATCATTTTCATCCTTCTAGTAGCTTTAAGTATAGATAGTTTTATTTTCTCTAATTAAGAGGCAAGATAAAGTTGTTCATTTGTGATCTTTCTTGCTTTTTAATGTAATTGTTTATAGCTACAAATTTTCCCCTTAGTACTTCTTTCACTGTGTTCCATAAGTTTTAGTATGTTGTGTTTTCATTTTTATTCATCTCTAAGTATTTTTTGATTTTCCTGGTGATTTGTTCTTTAATCCATTGGTTGGTTGAACCTAAACTTTTTTGGTGCTCATCAACTATTCTAGAATTAAATCTAAACTCCTTAAAGTGCATATAATGCTCTCTCTTATCTTCTTCCTGTAAAACTATTCAGCTTTTCCTCTAGTCACTCCCTATCTCAAACTTGACATTGAATCAACAGTTCCATTGCATGCTGTTTTACATTTCATTTTAAAAATTTTATGTATTTGGCCTCCTACTTCTTATTTCAAATAACCAACTTAATAACTTCTTATGTCTTGGTTCAGGTACCCCTTTTTCTCAGAGTCTCTTGTTCTCTTTATTCTCTCCTTCATGTATTAGGTATCCTTCTGTGTCTCTATTAATTCTAAAATCTACCTCTATCACTGTACTTAATTCACAGTTTAGTGATTGTTGGTTGATGTGTCTACCTGCACTCACTAATTTGAGTTTCTAGAGAACAGGGATTATGTTTATGTTCAAATATTTATTAGCTACAGTTATGGAACATGAAACTGGTTTAAGTGCTAGACATACTTACAAACATGACTCTTCCCTCAAAGAACATATCCTATAGAAGTAAAAAAAAATGAATAAGAAACAAAAACAATGAAGTTACTTTTAGAGATTGATAAAAACTGTGATGAAAATACAGGCATATCTTGTTTTATTGCATTTCATTTTACTATACTTCTCAAATATATGTTTTTGTTTTCTTTCTTTCTCTCCTTTTCTCTTTCTTTCTTGCTTGCTTGCTTTTTTTTTTCAGTGTCTCACTCTGTCACTCAGGCTGGAGTGAAGTGGTGCAATCTCAGCTCATTGCAACTTAACTTCCACCTCCTGGGCTCAAATGATCCTCCGGCCTCAGTCTCCTGAGTAGTTGGGACTACAGGCGCATGCCACCATGCCCAGCTAATTTTTTCTCTTTTGCATTTTTTATAGAGACAGTGTTTCACCATGTTGCCCAGGCTGGTCTTGAACTCCTGAGCTCAAGCTATGTGCCTCCACCTCCCAAAGTACTGAGATTACAGGTGTGAGCCAGGCACTGTGCCTGGCCATATTGTGTTTTGTTTTGTTTTCTGTTTTTATATATTTCTATTTATTTATTCCATATGTTTTTGTTTTAGAAATTCAAAGTTTGTGGTAAGCCTGCCTTGAGCAAGTCTATTGGTGCCATTTTTCCAACAGCATGTGCTTACTTTTTGTCTGTGTGTCACATTTCTGTAATTCTTGCAATACTTCAAATTTTTCATCATTATAATGTCTGTTATAGTGATCTATGATCAGTAATCTTTTATGTTACTATTGTAATTGTTTTGGGGTGCCACAAACTATGCTCATATAAGATAGCAAACTTAATGAATAAATGTTGCCTGTGTTCTGACTGCTTCACTGACTAGCCATTCCCCCATCTTTCTCCCTCTCCCAATCCTCCTTATTCCTTGACATACACAATATTAAAATTAGGCCAATTAATAACCCTATAGTGTCTTCTAAGTGTTCAAATGAAATGAGTCACCACATATCTCTCACTTTAGATCAAAAGCTGGAAAGTATTAAGCTTAGTGAGGAAGGCATGTCAAAAGCTGATATAGGCAGTAAGCTAGGCCTCTTGGATCAAACAGGCAACCTGTCAATCCAAAGAAAAAGTTCTTGAAGGACATTAAAAGTGCTACTTCAATGAATACATGAATGATAAGAAAACAAGCAGCTTTATTGCTGATATAAAGGAAGTTTTTGATGTCTGTGTAAAAGATCAAACTAGGCACAACCTACCCTAAACCAAAGCCTAATCCAGAGCAAGCCCCCAACTCTTCAATTTTATGAAGGCTGAGAGAGATGAGAAAGCTGCAGAAGAAAAGTTTGAAGCTAGCAGAAGTTGGTTCATGAGGTTTAAGGAAAGAAGCCATCTCCATAACATAAAAGTACAAGATGAAGCATCAAGTCCTGATTTGGAAGATGCAGCAAGTTACCCAAATGATATAGCTGCACTAAGCAACAAACTCAGTGTAGATGAAACAGCCTTCTATTGGAAGAAAATACCATCAAGGACTTTCATAGCTAGAGAGAAGAAGTCAATGCCTGGCTTCAAAAATTTAAAGGAAAAGTTGACTCTCTTGTTAGGAACTAATACAGCTGGTGACTCTAAGTTGAAGCCAATGCTCACTGGCTATTTTGAAAAACCTAGCACTGTAAGAGAATTATGCTAAATCTACTCTGCCTGTGCTCTGTAAAGATAACAACAAAGCCTTGATGCCAGCACATCTGTTTACTGCATGGTTTAATAAATATTTTAAACAAATTGTTGAAACCCACCACTGGCAAATAAGATTCATTTCAAAATATTACTGCTCATTGACAATGCACCTAGCCACCCAAGAGGTCTGATGGAAATGTACAAGGAGATTAATGTTGTTATCATGTCTGCTAATACAGCATCCATTTTGCAGCCCATGGATCAAGGAGTAATTTTGACTTTCAAGTCTTCTTATTTAAGAAGTGCATTTTGTAAGGCTATAGCTGCCATAGATTGTGATTCCTCTAATGGATCAGGACAAAGTAAATCATAAACCTTTTGGAAAGGATTCACCTTTATAGATGCCATTAAGAATATTTATGATTCATGGAAAGAGGTCAAGATGTTAACATTAACAGAAGTTTGAAGAAGTTGATTCCAACACTCATGGATGACTTTGAGGGGTTCAAGACTTCTTTGGAAGAAGTAACCACAGATGTGGTAGAAATAGCAAGATAACTAGAATTAGAAGTAAAGCCTGGAAGATGTGATTGAATTGCTGAAATCTCATGACAAAATTTTAATGAATGGGTAGTTACTTCTTATGAATGAGCAGGGAGAAGGGTTTCTTGAGATGGATTCTACTCTTGGTAAAGATGCTGTGAACATTGTTGAAATGACAACAAAGGATTGAGAAGATTACATAAACTTAGATGATAAAGCAGTGGTAACATTTGAGAGGACTGGCTCTAATTTTGAAAGAAGTTCTACTGGAGGTAAAATGTTATCAAACAGTATCACATGTTGCAGAGAAACCTTCCGTGAAAGGAGGAGTCAATTGGTGCAGCAAACTTTGTTGTTGTCTAATTTTGAGGTGAAAACCTCAGCTTTCAGCAACCACCACCCTGATCAGTCAACAGTCGTCAGCATCAAGGCAAGACCCTCCACCAGCAAAAAGTTGATGACTGGGTGAAGGCTCAGATAATTTTTAGCTTTTTTTTTTACAATGAAGCATTTTCAAATTCAGGTATGTATATTATTTTCAGACAAAATGTTACATACTTCATAGACTACAGTATAGTGTAATCGTAACTTGTATATGCACTGGGAAACCAAAGTTTGTCTGACTTGCTCTATTATAATACTTTATTGCAGTGGTCTACAACCAAACCCACAATATCTCTGAGGTATGCCTGTAAAACAATATAATGTGATAAATGGACAGGGAGGGGATACTTTAGGTCAGGGAAGGGATTTCTGAGGACAGACATTTGAGCTAGGACTAAAAAGTAGAAGACACCAGTGAAGAAGTGGGTAAAGGTGTTCTAGGCAGAGGTAATGAGCTAGAGCATAATGAGTAAGAAGAGATTGTTACAGGATGGCTTGAGAGAAGAGCCTTTGAATCTTATTCCATTTGAGGGTTTTGGAGTCCTGAATATTGAATCGTAAATGACTGACATTCAGTTTAAACTATTACTGCTGAGAAGTAACACTGGAAGGAGAAAACACTTTCTTCCCCTTTTTGGAATATTATATTATCCTTCCTGTAACTTCTTCCTTTCCCCCTGCTGCTCACCCCACTTGCAGGGACTTGGGAAGGAAGATGGTACTTCACTGTGCCTTTGAATCTTTGATCTTTACTAATGTTAATGCCAGTGGTTGCGTGGTTATCTGTCTAGAGAGGGAGGTAACACAGTAGACAAGAGAGGGATACAGTGAAATAAGATATTGTGGTTGGATGAGCAGTATGCTGGAATGGCCAAAGGGATGCCCCATACTCAGTTTTAACTTCAACACACTTCTGCAATGCAAAGCTCCTCTGACACCCAGATTATCAGTAACTCCTGGTCTGCTCACAAGGAGACCTCTTGGAAGTGTTGTCTGTTGACTTACATGTTGTGTATATGTGTGTCTATTTTCCTATGAAAATCAAGTAAAGGGGCTGGGTTTAGACCTATCTATGCAAGGGCAGAAATAAAACAATGCTACAAGTCTTGAGTAAAAAACAAGAATTCAGTGGAAGCTGCAAGTTACCATGGAACTCGCCATTACCTGACCAGAATTCCCAGAAATATAGGGAGGTACTTGTGACAAGACGGAAAAGCTGGGAGCTTGAGATAATTTTATTTTGAGCTTAGGAAACTGAGTGATTCTATCTAATGTCTGAAATATGTAACATATTTTTATTTTAACATAAAGCAAAATGTTAAGGAATGAAGTTTCTTGCCTGAAATTTGAAGGGCAGCTATTGAGTGGTGGATATTTGGGGTGTGTCTCAAGGGTCTGAGAGAACGAGAGAATAAGACAAAAAGTGAAAGAAAAGTCTAGGTTGAGGGTCACTAGAAGGAAGAAAAGGAGAAAGAAAGAAGTCATTTCGGTATGTCTGCTTCTCCAGGATTCCTTTAGAGAGCCTCCCCCTTCCTTTGTTCCTGTGCTATGTTTCCTTTCCATCTCTCTTTGGCCTTGAGGAGACTTCACTTCTCCCAGGCCTAGAAGAGACTGCCATTGTTTGCTGGTATCTTGTCCACTTCTTTCTGGGCATACAGCTAAACTATATTTCCTGGTATCCTTGCATATACGTCTGATCTTGGAATTCAGGTTGATGGAATGTTGGCAGAGTGTCATAAACAATTTCTGAGCTTGGTCATAAGTGATTTTCACTCTTTTTCAACTTCATGGCAAGAAAAGAAGGTTGAGGAGAGACCTTCCCAGATAACTTCTGGCCAGAAACATCTGTCTTAGACTTTATGATAAGCTTTTCTGTTCAATCACTGATAGCTTGTTTTTGTTTTTACAGTAGCTGTCCCTATTCTGAGCCAGGACTGACGCCCTCTCCCACTTTCAAATTGTTACCTAAAGCTCCCTCTCTATTTTCCATCTGGCCAAAATATCTTCCCCTGTGTATGTCTTCCATATGGCTCATGTGACATTTGGCAGGGAGGAGGGGGGATGTCTTTCTCTCTCACTTGATAAATTTGGGCTCCATGCTGCTACTACTGCTATAACCATTACCCTTTAATTATGTGCAAAAATTGTATTGTTTTCATTAGAGGGGTGGAAGAAAATTTGGAAGAGTTGATTTTAAGCTAATTGAGGACAGGGATTACATATCTTTCCAGACTTATATTTTTTAAATTAAATAAAAGTAAAAAAAATAGAAGATATGACTTGACAGGCTTAATGCAATTAAAGTGATCACTTGATTGGCCTCCAAGATACTGATTTTAAAAATACTTAAATTGAATCATTGAAGAAAGACTAATACATTTTTATCCTATTATGAGCACATTGTTAAAATGTACTTTTATATCCCGAGGTCAAAACCACCCACTTTGTGTAAAGGTCTTGATGTCAGCATTTCCCACCAAGGCCAGATGTGTTGCCTTTAAGAACTTATCTACTGTCTCTTGTACTAGGCAGTGGGGGCTGCTTATGACATATTTTAGGTTCTGTAGCCACTTTTCAGGGCATCTGTATACGCAAGATTCATTTAAAATCTTTTAACACATTTTCCTCATACGGATGTTACTGTTACAGTCCCTTGTGAGAACATGTGTTGGTTATGTTAGAATAAGACATAAAGTAACAAATTGACTTCCTTTCAAATGCTTTAGAAAATTTTAAACCTCAGGAATAGATTCCTAATTAGGTGAACGGAAATTGAGATCTGGCTAAATCTCAGCGAGTAAGTGAAAATAGACCAGGGGAAGTTTTCTCGCAGAGGTCTCCCTCTGGAGACCCCTCCTGTGGGGGCTGTCAGGAAATCACTATACTCCTCTCACTATCCTTCCATTTACCTGCCACCGTGTGGTGGCTACACATAGGTCAAGGAGTTCTAGACGAAAAATGAAGGGAGATGGGCAATGGTCCCGTTGTCCTGGAAGAAGAGTATAGAAACAAATGTACAAGAATTGGCATTTATAAGAGGAAGAGATTTACAGAAGGAGATAAACTCTGCAGCTATTGCAGGCAAGGGTAAAAAAATTAGCTCATTCAAAATAAATTTCCTTTTTTAGACCCCAAAGATAACAATCAGGTTTCCTTTCTCCTCTTGCTTTTCCCTCTGTCAACTGCACTGTCTTTGACCTACTCCTGTCATGCTTCTATATGCATAATATACTTCTTTATATATAATTTCTCATGTGTTATCTTATTTTGTCCTTATAATAGCCATGTGAAGTAGGTGAAACAGGATTGATCTCATCAGTTTATAAATAAGGAAGCTAAGGCTTTATAGGTATATTTTGAATGTCTTAACAAGTAGTAAGTCTCAAGTTTGGGTCATTTGTTTCTAAATCTCATGACTGATTCATAAGATACGTTGTTCACGAGCTTGCAAGTCTCTTCATGATCTGCCTCTTCTTTCCTTCTCAAGTCTTGTATCTTCTCACTTTCTCATTTTACAATCTGTTATTCAGTCATAGTGAATATCTTAGTTTCTCAATTTTGCTGCAGCCGTTCTCACTTCTGAGTATTTGCTCGTGCCCTCTGCTTTTGCCTTTAAAACTCTGTCCACCATTTTGTCTGCTTAACTCTTAGTCAACCTTCACATTTTATCATGCGCGTCATCACTTCCAGTACTGACCAGTCCTCTGGCTTCCTTTTTGGGTTATCTGCCCTCTTTAGTACCCTCATGGTGTCTTGCTTACCCTGTGTCTTTGGATTTGTCATGATTCATGTGTTATAATTATGCCCCCTATTGGACTGTAAACTACATGAGAACAGCAGATCACCTCTGTGTTCACAGTATCTGGCTCAGAGTGGTGCTCCATATTTATTCTTTTTCTGAAAGGATGAATGAGTGAATGAATGAATATTCCTTGTTGAAATGTACCCTTTTTTTCTCAACCAGTTTCCAACTCTCCCTTATTATTTTCTTAATTGATTTAGGAAAGTAAGAATAACAGTTCATTTGATTTAAGGGCGTGTCCTACATTTATAAATACAAAGCCTCTTTAGTCACGGTGTCCTTCTGAGAGCAGCGGGGGCTGGCTGTCACTTTCCATGAGGAAAGAGAATAAAAAATAAAACAAATCCCATTTTGCTACTTTTCTAATTCCACTTCTTTTCCACCACCTACTTTTCAGCTTTGGATTGTAGTCAGCTCTATTTTTAACCCATCCATCAAGATTTTCAAAAATTCTCTGTGAACCCTTTGTTACCTATGCAGAACTAACTCATAGGTCAACACAACAATAAAAATGCAAATTATAGATGTTCCTCATTATGCAGAAAAGAATATTTTAATTCTTGGTCCAAACATGTTGCAATCTTAGACCTTGCTAAATTTCCCTGAGATTTTTCCATTCATAAATTTAGTAATGTCTTCTTGCAATTTTTTTTTTTTTGTTCAGTTTTTCAGTCCTGACATGCAACTTTGAGAGGTTGGGCATACTTTGGTAGGAACTGTGTAACCCAAAAGAATAAAAGCTTCTTAAAGGTTATCCAGCTTGAACTATGTCCAAGTTTTCCGCAAATGAGCTATATAAAATTTTGCCATATGTTCCTCTTTATATTGATACATCTGAATAGAGAAAGATATTTATAAACAATGTAGGTATAGTCACTGATTGAGGAGGCATTAGTTTTCTGAATATTCAGATAACTCAATATCTGGCATTGTTTAATTTATCTAGACAAGTGACATTTGGTTAAAACAAACCTATAAGGCTTATGCTATGGGGCTATTTTAAAAATATTTTTTGGTCTGGAAAAGGTCTGGGGAGCAGCTGGCCACCAGCTGGAGCCTCATGCTGTTTTATTGAAGTAGAATTGGGACTTTACAAGCTTAATTATAACAAGACTTCACTTGCCTCACAGAATTGGTTACAGCCCCCATTCTCCCAAGGCACCCCCTCCCCTGCCTTCCTTTAAAAAAAATTGTTGGTTGCTTTAAGGCTTGTTTTAAATATTTCCACCCAGACCATATATGATCTGAAATCTTTATAGTGATACTCTTGATTTCATTACAATGACACAAAAGCGTAAATGAAATGTAGCTTCTTTTGTATAGGTAAGTTCAGCAATAAGGTGGAGGAACTTGGAGATAATGGTGAGTAATATGTTTAAGTTCACAGAAGGTTATCTATAAATTTGATCTAAGTGATAGATCTGGCTAGGTCTTTTGTTTCAATTAGTTGGTGAGGGAACCATGTGTTCATATCATTAGTCCTTGTATCCTAAGGGTTTACCTTTCTTTCACTTTCTGATTCTCTTAAGCATATTATATAACATGAGCCTCCCATTTGATTGTAAACACTTCTAGGTACTTCCCAATATAGCTGGTATAGTTTTCAGCACAAAACTGACACTTAGGAAATATTGACAGCTTGATTTATTAGAAAGTGTCTATATGAATTTGCAACAAAGATTGCTGGTCACCTATTTGAAAACTGAGTTATAAATCCTTGCGTTTTCTTTTAGCATGAACTACTAAAGGATGACTAACTGCTATTTCCTTTGTGCTGTTTTTGGTGCATGAATAAATGGCTACTAACTCCTTTAGGATGATGACTTAGGGGAGAGTTTAGAGAGAGATTTAAAATCACCTTTCAAATATGAAGAGGAAAGAGTAATGAGAATCTGTGGTTGGTGACGATAGTAATAACACAATGTGAAAACATTGGTAAAAAGTAATAATCCCTTGTTGCTTTTTGTGCTAAAAGATTTCTAGATCCTCTGTAGCCTGGAAAGGTACAAGACTATATGAATAAATTACATGTTAGTATGAAATATGCAGCTTGACCCTTTTGGGCTCATGTTTGTAGCTTTCTTGTCGTCAATAAGATAATTACATTTTTCTTTGCCCGTAACACTTGGGATTAGAGATATTTATTGGTCTAGGAAAAAGAGTTGCGAACAATTGGCTCAGTCCAACAATATTGCAGTAGATAGGGTTTTCTAAACTGAAAATGGTGGATGAAAGAATTGTCTATGATATTTACTAGGCACCCTTTGAAAAGGAATCCAGCTGATGCACAATATTCAGTGAAGGACAAGAAAATGTCGTATTGCTTGGGACAGCCTCATGAAGGAACACGGTCCTGTAACAGAAGAAAAGAAACTTTGTTTCTTATTAATATTATGTGTAATATATTACTTTTAATCTGTTGTTTTAAGTAGCTGAATAATCAAATCCAATTTTTCTCAAGACTAACTTTCAGACACAAACATTCTCTCTTCTTTGTAGCTTTCTTTGACTTTTCTTCCTACCCACCCCAATCTTCCCACTCCAGTGAAATTATCATCTCCTTCATCTCTGCTAACAGTGCATTCCTCCTCTCTTACAGCACTTCTCCAATTGCACTGTAATTATTTGTTTACATGTCTGTCTCTCTCACCAGACTGTGAGCTGAGACAGCATTTCACTTAATTCACTTGGTATACTCACACCCTGGCCATGTCTGGCACATGATAGGCATACAACAAACACTGAAAGGAGAAAAAGGAGGAGAGATTAATGAATGAGTGTAAATTATTGTCATCTCTGATTTATTTGGCAGTTATATCATAGCGTGCAAAAAAGAAACACCCATCTTATTACTTCTTCAGTGTCATGTAGACTTTTCTGGAAAACTTCAGCGTGCTTAACAGTCTGCTCAACTCATACTACATAATTCCACGGCAGTGATAACAGCACTGTAATTAGAGCATAAGCACTATCAACTTATTGTAAATCATACTGAGTTTATATCTTGGAATCTACAGGTGTGGTTTTATGTTTCAATTGTAATTCACTCACTTTATAAAAAGAGAGGATGTCTGGTTTGATGTATAAAACTTGATAACTAATGGTTAGAATTTTCTAATTCACTTATATTTACAAATAGTTTTAATTATAATTTATTCTTAGAAAAAGAAGTATATCATTTGTTAAGCAGAGTCATTGAGGTGATCAGGCAAGCTTGTTGCTAAATGGTACACTGTTCAAAGACTGAGATTATCACTCACTGTTGTTGAGTAAGTATGAGGGTGGCTGAAAAGCCTGCTGGATGTTAAATTCATCTTTTGAACAAATGTTTTGGTTTCATTAAAAATGAAAATGCATTCCACCCGGGTTTTCCTGTTATCATGTAAACTTATGTGTATTTAAGAAAAATTTAATTGTTCTATTTCATTCATTTATGCTCATGTCATTAAGATGATATTTGGTGATGGATAAGAAGGGCCTTTTTGTTGGCTTTACTCTTTATTATTTTAAACCCCCTAAAATATTTTTTGTTCTAATATTCAACAAACTTAGCCAATGAGATGGTCTGACAATAGCACAATTGTCTCCAGTACCTATTTTAGCTTAATAAATGCAAAAAAAATCATTCACTATCCTTAGTAAATGATTTCTATCTAATAGGTTATATTATTATCTTTATAAACAAATATATTTAAAATTAAACAACACCTAAAATTTCAACCTGAACACTTACAGAACCTTAAGAACAAGAATCATAATTTCTTATTCATGGTTAGATTATTAGGTTTTCGCAGAATACTTGGAAAAAAACAGAAAATAAATATTGAATATGGATTAATTGATGAATGTATTGACAAATGTTAATAGGATAACTTTTTTGTTTTGTGATTAAGTGGGCAGAAAGAAGTGCAAAGGTCATTTTCATATTTGAGGCATGTAAGTAAGGAATTTCAGCTATTGTGGGAGATCCACAGAGGGAGAAACAGTGACTTATATGTAATGCATATTTTGTCCCAATGTAGAAAAAATAGGATGGTTGGTCTTACTGGGATAGAACAAAGTAAAGATTCAATTAAAACGGCAAGAGTTTCTGATCAGCCAGTACTGAGTCTAGAGAAAGGTAGTATGGGAAGATGAGAAGTACTCACTCTTTTCCTTGTCCCAGTGTTCCTAAGCTGACCAACACAACTGTGGTCTCTGGGGAAGGGGCAAGAGCTAAACTATTTGGAAAAACAGTGTTTGTATTCCCTGGATCATCAGCATTTATTTTTCTTTTGGACCAGAATTTGTAAACTTTGTAGAACTATTGGCTGGGAGGAAATTTGTTCTACTTACTGTCCTCTCACTGTGGACCAGGGGTGTCAAAAAGGTGGTGCCTGCTCCACAGTAACTCACCAAATCAGCCAGGAGAGTGTAAAAGGAAACAACTAATATTGTCATTTATTTTAATTTTTCTCTAAAAGTTAGAAAATGAATTGAGCTTTACTCAGTTTTTTTGGGGTATATTTTCAAGTATAACATACATACAGAAAAGTATACAAATGAAAGGTATACAGTTAGATTAATTTTCTCAACGTGAACACACATACATTGCTAACATAGATCAAGAGACAGGTATTATCAACACCACAGAAGACGCTCCTCCCTCATATCTTCTTCCCATGATTACCCCTCAAGAGAAATCACTATTTTGACTTCTAATACCATAAGCTGGTTTTGTCTTTTTGTGCATTTTTACGTAAATAGTATCTTCTGTATGTATGAT
Source organism: Homo sapiens (assembly GCF_000001405.40). Taxonomy (NCBI): domain Eukaryota; kingdom Metazoa; phylum Chordata; class Mammalia; order Primates; family Hominidae; genus Homo; species Homo sapiens. The sequence goes on from NC_000012.12 coordinate 43,101,945, forward strand.
AGTGTATTTGGCATTTTTTTGCTTGTCAGTATGTTAGTGAATTTATCTCTATTGTCACATGTTGTAGTTCATTCATTTTTAATGTTGCATATTACTCTAATGTGTGGCTGTACCATAAGTGTGTTCATTCTGCTATTGATGAGCATTTAGATTGTCTTGGTGTTGCCAATTTTTGGCTCTCACAAATAGTGCCTCTATGAAAGTATTGTTTATCAACATTTCTGTTGGATAAATCTGTAGGAGTGGAATTCCTGAGTTATAAAATATGCATATATCAGGCTTTAGTCGGTAGTGGCAAATAGTTTTCCAAAGTGATTGTACCAATTTATACTCCCAAAAGCCATTATATGAAAGTTCTAGTTGCTCTACATCCTCACCAACACATGATATAGTCAATTTTTTATTATAATTCTTTTGTGTGTGTAGTGCTATTGCACTGTAGTTTTAATTTCTAGTTTCCTCATGACTAATGATTTTTGCAATTTTAAAAAAATTTCATGGCCATCTAAACAATTCTTTTTTTGCTCAAGTATTTTGCTTGTTTTCTTGATTAGGTTGTTGTTCTCCCTCCTCATTGATCTGAAAGAATTATTTGTACCAGTCTTCTATAGTTTGCGTGTTTATCTCCTCCAAATCTCATGTTGAAATTTGATCCACAATGTTGGAGGTGACAAATAGTGGGAAGTTTTTGAGTCACGGGAACAGATCCCTCATGAATGGATTAATGCCCTCTCTCAGAAGTGAGTTCTCCTTCTTTTAAGTTCCTGTGAGAGTTAGTTGTTAGAAAGAGCATGACGCTGCCCCCATCTCTCTTGCTTCCTGAAGCTCTTACCAGCAGCTTAGCAGATGCTGGTGCTATGCTTCCTGTAAAAACTGCAGAACCATGAGCCAAATAAACCACTTTTCTTTATAAATTACCCAGCCCCAGATATTATTCATTTATAGCAACACAAAATGGACTAAGACGGAGGTTTTGCTGGTATATGTATTAAAAAATATCTTCTCCCTTTCTGTGGCTTGTCTTTTCACTTTCCTAATGGTAAAACACTACTAATTTGCCATGTGGAATGACATTGGCATCCTCACCACATATGCATGTCAGTCACCACATCCTAAAAGTGTGTGGTGAGAAACCAGGAGCTGGATGGTGTGCTTAAATGTGATGCAATCATTTGAATTTTTGTTTTTGAGATATTGCTGTGCATTATAGTTTTATATATGCATGATTAAATGAACAGAATTATTTATTATCCAGATTTTACTAAACTAGTCTTCACAAAATGGGCAAGTGACTTCAAAATATTTTTGCAAAGTAAACCTAAATTTAAGATAATCTTAATAGAACAGGCACTTGGATACTGTAAGAAAATGGTTGCCCTGATAGCTCTTTTCCAAATAAGAGCTATTCCTCAGTTAAGTAAAGAAAACGACAGCCTAATATCTGACAAGTTAGTAAAAAAAAATTGTCAGAAAAGCCATTTAAATTCAAGATTTATGCCTACCTTAGTGAACAATGAACCTTGTCCTAACATATTTTTCTTGGATGTATTAGTTAAAGCATAAAGCCACCATGATTAGTACAATATTAAATATGTTTATTTCATCTTTATCTCATTCTTTAAAGTTTTCTAGTTTTTGTACATGAAACACATTAATTGACATCTATTGAAGCCATAACCAAAATAGTTTAACACACTTCTCTAGAAAATTTAAAACTATGCATGTACCGCTAAATAGAAGCATTACCATGCAACACAAACCTTCAGGCAACTTTTGAAATGGAAATTTACAAAGCACCTTTTCCACTTTAGTTAAGGCCTGGCTATTTGAAAAGCATCACAGTGCATCTCACAGTGCGTGTGCGGGAGTGGAGATGCCTGGAACAGAATTCCGATAGGACTGTAAGTGAGAGTTCATTGTTCTGAACTCTCCATTGTTCCATAAAACCTGTCTTAAATATTCTCATGTTCTTGGGTAAGGACTGATTTCTGAGAATGGAATATGCCTACTGAGAATGGTAGTTTTCACATTGCAATGTGGGATTTCTGGGTCCCTGGGAATATTTAACCATGTCTTTAACTATGGCAGCAAATCAACCAGTGGAAGCAGTTGCGCCAGGTGGCAGGTGGAGCATCTTGGGAAGAAGCCAGTTTTTCAAAAACCATGTTGCAAAGGCTTAATTAAGCTTAGGCAGTCAGATAAGCATTACTTTTCTATGAAACAGTCTAAATATAAATACAAAAATAAATAATGTAGACAGAAAAAGATAATGAATGTAATTTTTCTTTTGCTCATATTCTAGAGATTTTGTAAGATTTGATGGAACCAAGTGGGCAAAAGTATTGTTTGTGGGTATGTTACACGCATCTCCTTTCATCTGATGGAGGAAAATAGCCTCAAAAATCACCCAGTGCATGCTGTGGATTGTTGGCAGGCTTGAGAGAAGCCACCTTGGGTGGATGGGTCTTAAGGATCTCCAGGGGAGGAGTTTCCAGATTGTGTTAACAACCCCTTGCAGTCTTTGCTGGCTCAACACTGGGTGGACACTTTTCCTTCAGCTGAGCCTCACATCACTTACTTGGCATGATATGCCCTCCCCTCCCCAACGTCCCAAATGCTGTGACTACTTTGGAGGAAAATGGTGGAGAAATGCGAAGCATTATTTTCGGAACAAAATCTCTGCAGTCCCAAAGCTTTTGCAAAGCATTCTCTATAGGGGGCATATCTGCCACATCTGTTCTTGTGTGGGGGAGGCACACTGTATTTATCATTTGAGATGAGTCACCTCATAAAGGAGCATAGTTGACTTCAGCTTTTGTGTTGAAAGGGCTCTCTGGTAGAATGAGCTGTAGTATTTAAGCTTTAAGTGGTACATATCTAGGCCTCCTGGTAGCACCCTGCCAAGAGCAACAATAGCTACAGAGGAGTAAAATCTCCTTCTTTCCATTTCCTTTCTGTCTGACTCTAATGATACTACTGGTGCGGCACAGGCAGTGAGGATCCTCAAGGGTGCTGCCGTGAGAGACCAAGCCATCATCCCACACCTGTTCTGGAATGAAAGCAGCTGAATTTGGCAAGGCCAGGAGACACAAAAACAAAGGATAAAAAGAACCAGAAATGTTACAAAAAACACCAGTGAAATATCTCTAACCAATCATTAAACATCCACAGCAGTGGATACCAGCAATTCTGAAGGATGGCTCTCAGACGGGGTCCCCAGCATGTAACCCTTAGGATGTATCATCTGTTCCCTAAAGATTTGTCTTTAGTTTCCCAGATTCTAAACACAAACAGTGACTTTAACAGTCTCTGCAGTTCTATCTTGGGCTGTCAAAAATTATTTTTTATTATAGATGATTCATTGGCAGAAAGAATATTATTTTCTTTCCCTCTAAAATGTTTTTAAGGTATTTCAGTAGCTATTGATAAATTTTAACCTGGAGGTAAGCATGTCTTTCAAAAGAAAATATGGAAGTTCATATAGACTGGCTTTCTCTTCTACAGGGAATTTGTTAGATTTATTTTCTGTATGTCCATACCTGGTAAGAATCCCCACGTAGGCCAACGTAGTTATATGTGACACAAGTCACAGATAAAACAGCCCCGAATCTGTGGGTAAAATAGAGCCATAATATTGTCCCACATAACTCACTCTTTTACTTCCAGCTCCTACCTTCACATTCTGTTCAAAAAGAGAAAGAGATGTAATCCAAGAGATAATCAGGTCTACTTCCCTTTACAGAGAGTTGCAGAGTCAGTGTACAGACACAGGGTTTAGCTGACACCTCCTACAGTGCTTTTGCTGTTAAAATTGAGTGTTAAGGAGGTCTGGGTCATAAGTTCAGTCCCCACTGATGTCCCGTTATCTTTAACAACGTGGAGATAAGCTTTTCCATATGGCCTATTGTGAGTTAGGTTTATGATGAAATAAATTGCATGCTTCTGTTTAGACGGTTTGCACAGTAATGATCTCTCCTTCTATTTCTTCCCAAAATATGTATAGACAACATTGTATTCATCCTTGTTTTTTATATTCTCTCCTTACTCTTTCATTTGGGTTTAAGTAATAAAGTTCCTCTTAAAATGTAAACATAATTTGGAAGTTATCAAGTATTAATGGCCCATCAATGCTCAAATTTGTCTACAGGATTTTCCCCCACTATGCAGAAATGCGAGGAAATGGGACTCTAGAGATGCAAGTTGTGATAAAGGAAAAAGGCCAAGATGAAAGAAATACAGCACAGTTTCTAAAAAAAGAAACTGTGGTTACCTTATGTGGCCCAGGGAAGCAAGTTGGACCTTGGTATCTGATGGCAGGAAAGTACCAATAACAAAAGAAAGAAGAAGCACAGAAGAGTTCCCAGGAGAAAGAGTTCTGCTTCTCAATTTTGCTCACTCTGCCTCTCTGTTATTCTTGTAAAAGGGTGGCATTTGTTGTAAGGGGGACCTGTGAAGGGATTACGGATGGCTAAAAGAAGAAGATCCCACGAGTGGAAAAATACTGAAAAGTGTCGTAGTGTAGGTGAAGAAACTCAAGTGAAATTACTCAGAGCAGATCACAAATATTTTAGACCATATAATGCACTCAGCATTGTTCCTAGAGCATCATAAACACTCAATGTAAGTTTCACTTCTCCTTCCTCTCCTTTTCCTCCTCTCTCTTCTGCCCCTTCCTTCTTTTTTTTCTTTCCTTTCTTCTTCCTCTTCTCCTCCTTTTCCTTCTTACTGCTGTTGTTGTTACTTATTTTCATTATTTCTCCTTCCTTTACTTCCCATCCTGACAATAGAGATCCTACCCAACCATTCAGTTAACTTCACTAGTATTTGAGTTCTACCTCCTTCATTAAGCTTTCTCCGGCTAATCCTAACCTGCATTGACCTCCCATTTGGGGATTAATATCTGGTTTCACACTGTCTTAAATTGTTCCTTGTTACTCCAATTATTATTTAATCTTGTCAGATGAATAAAGTGACAAATACTTTGAAGGCTGAAACCATAGCCTTGTTTCTCTGTATTCACCATAATAATTAGAATAATGTTGAATATATAGTAGGTCTTAAATAAATGTTTATTGACTAAATCATAGGTATTTAATAATTACTGGCTGTTTCACTGTCTTCCCTCTGTGTGATCAGAAAAGCACATATATATTACTTTATTCTGAAGAAAAGGAAAAAAAAGATTTGTTAATAATGTTCACAATTTACTTGGAACACTGTTATTTCTATCCTGCCATGTTAAAATCCTTTACTTGCTGTTCTGGCCAAAAATGAATGAAAACAAATGAACAAAGAAAAGTCTCCAAAAGAAAAAAGACAATAATAAAAGAAGCCAAAAAAAAAAAAAAAAACCCCAGCAAAAAATGCAAACACTTTTGAAATGAATTAAAATAAAAATAATGTATGAATTTAACACAGATAATTAGAGCATAGATTACAGCTGGGAAAGAATTCCTTAAAGTTAAGGTTATGTTTATTATCCTGGAATTGAAGCAAATATTTGAAATAAGTTAATAATGGATAGAGCAGCATCGGATTTTTTCCACATAACCCATTTTAGATCAAGAGTGCTTTGTGGCGAGAACATGAAATCAGTTGAGACCAGCTGACCTTTGCAAAGAATTGTGGCTGCTTAACTTCATAGTTCACTTCATATTGTATTTGAAACATGAAAGAAAAATCTTCCAGTCCCCATCTGCTGAATTAGTCCCCTCTTTTCCTTCAAAGTCCAAACAGAAAACCACTTGCACCACTAAGCCTTCAAATGGAAGAGGGATGTTCACACCATGTTCTGTTGTATTGGAACAATGAAACAACCAGTTTAACTCTTCTGATTAATTTAGGCAAACAAGAAAACAATTCAGTTAAATATGATTACATATGCAGCAGGACCCAGTTTTAAAAATTTTTTTCTCTATTTTCATAGTTTATCAAATTAGCTTGGAATTAAGCGTACAATAAAGAGTGATTTTTTTCATGTTTAATTTTCTGGTTAGGGATATAAACTCCACACAGTATCTTCTAAGATTACAACCTATTCAGCCAGATCTTAAAAATCATTCAGTTCTCTTTGGAGAAAATTAGAACTTTTTCTAAATGCTTGATAGCAGAATGCCTCCAAGCACTATGATAACCATAACTCTTGTTCGAGTTCAATAGTGCAGACCTGCACAAAGCTGAAAAAGTACTGGCAAGAGAGCCATTTCTTTCTCCACCAGGTACTGTTCCTCAGCACTTCACAGGCAGGCCATAGCTGGACAAATATCAATACCAGTCTCCTCTAAATACTGGGCTAAATGAGATAGTTTATGGAAACTCTGCCACAAAGATATTCCATTGGCATGGTGGAGTTGGGCTTGGTGTTGTGCAGTATGCTTTCATGTCTACATCTGTGTCTATTTCTCTGCATCTGTGAACTTGAAATGTTCTTCCTTTAACAATTCTGCTCCACTGTACCTAGTGGAGTACTACCTCCTCTCTATTTAAGACAACGTTATCATCTTTAAAAAAAAAGTTTTCTCATGAATGAAAACACTGCTCTCCCACAAAGAATCTGAATATTCACTATCCTTTCCTATAGATATCTCACCTCCCATTGACCCTGATTAAGTGGGGTTCCAGTGAGAATTGGCTTATCTTTGTACACTATTTCTTGATCAGTGAACTAGCTGTGTGAGCAAGTATGGTGTACACCAAAAAGAGAGACATTATTTTATTTTACTTCCTTTTATGTTCACATGTTAACAGGTGGGGTGAAGAGACCTTGCCTTCTGAAGCACCTCCCATTTTCATCACTTTAAGGCGATTGCCTCTCTCTATGTGACCTTAAAACATCACAGCTATTGTCTACCACACCCTGGAATTCATTTCAACTTACATAAAGGACTTGGCGAAAAACCTTTCTTTCCATTGTGTTTCTTACAATCTTCCTCAGTAACTTCAAGGCTTACACTTTTGACCCTGAAGATTCCTTGATCTGGTTCCTTTCCACTCCCGGCCCCAAGGACCTACAGCTCATTACTTCCCAATCCAGGCAGCCTGAACTTTGTCTTCATAAGTCAATACTTGTTCTGAGATCTTTAACTCTGTACTTCCCTGCCTTCATCACAAGTTTTTACTTGTACCCTTCCCCATTTAACCTAACATTTATTCACTGTCCTCTTCAGCACCTTCCCATGCTCAAATGGTGACTCATGTCTCTCCTTTCTGACCTGGCCTTCCACAGACAACTTTTACTGTTAGCCTCTCTGATCCTTCTCCCTGGCACACTCACCAAATCTCAACCCTAGGTAACCTCCACCAATGGCTTTCCCTTTTTTTTTTTGAGATGGAGTCTTGCTCTGTTGCCCAGGCTGGAGTGGGAGTGCAGTGGTGCTATCTTGGCTCACTGCAACCTCTGCCTCCAGGTTCAAGCAACCCTCCTGCCTCAGCCTCCTGAGTAGCTGGGATTACAGGTGTGCACCACCACACCTGGCTAATTTTTGTATTTTTAGTAGAGATGGGGTTTCACCATATTGGTCAGGCTGGTCTTGAACTCCTAAGCCTTAGGTGATCCACCCACCTCAGCTTCCCAAAGTGTTGGGATTACAGGCGTGAGCCACAGCACCCGGCCTTGCCTGACTATTGATGACACTCTACTTGTTGTCTAAGTATGACACTCTACTTTTAGTCTAAGTGAACCCATTCACTTGCTTTTGACTCCCACTAACTATATCCTGTCAATTTGTATTGTAGGTCTACAGTCTGGTATCTCCTTTGACCTTCAGATTCATATATTTCACCATCTCCTAGTTAAATCCATTTGGATGTCTGCCTCATCATGTCCAAAGACAACATGTTCAAAGTGGATCTAAATTTTTTTTCTCTCTCTCTCCAAACCCACTCTTCCTTCCCATATTTCCTATGTTAATTAATTGCAACATTATTCATTTACTCACTCGAGCCAGAAATTTGCAGTCATCCTAAACCACTTCCTCTCCCTCATCCCCCATATGCAATCAACTAGCCAATCCTACCAATTTTTTCTCATAATTATTTCTTGATTTCTTCCTTTACTCTTTTGGTTGTGTTCATCATAATTGTATACCTGGAATATTTCACTAACCAAACCCCTGCTCTTCCTGATTGCTAGTTGGTTTCTTTGCATGGCATTGCCCTTCTGCAGCCTGGGTGCTGCATCTGAAACACAAATCTGGCCAGACCATTTTCATGCTTATAACCTTGCCATACTTCCTCATTGTTTATTAATTACATCAACATGTTTCTTAATACAGCTCTTAGACTCTTCACAATCTGGCCCCTTCCTGGGCTTTTAGCATTTTCTCCCATCATACCTTACCGAAATAATTGGCTAAAACTGAACTCATGATTTATTTTTTATCAACTTATCCCCCAAAGATACACCTCCTTCTACATTAACTGTCATTTTATCCAATCTTCTAAATAAGTAAAAAAGTCAATACATACTCCTCTACCTCACTCACCAAGAATCCCAAACAATAGCTCACCTAATTTGATTACTTGTATGCCAGAAAGTATCTCTCAATTCTGGACCCTCCACTCTATTCCCCTTTTAACATTTCTTCTGTGAACTACAAAAGCATCTCGGTGCCGAGTTTAGCTTCTCAGCATTGATGACTCCATTCTGTGTTATGAATTTGGGTGCCATCCTAAAAATATTGAACATTCTTGGAAGAAAAGGATATATAAGAGGTATATCATATATGTTACCACTAGGTCCAAAGTAGGCACTTCATTAATTTATAATTACCAGAGATTATGTATATAGATCAATTCATAAACAGAAGGATAGATATAGGCAGAGAGATGATAGATAGATGATAGATAGATGATAGATAGATAGGTAGATAGATAGATAGATAGAACAGAACCACTCAACCAGTGTTCATGGATCCAGGGTGACATTTATTTTCCAGTTTTTTGGTAGCAGGAGGGACCAGTATAACATAAAGATAAATATCTTTTTTCTTCTAGCCAAGAACTGTGGGGAATTTACTATAAAATGAAGGAACATAGCAAAATGTTCACCTAAAAATCTTCATGCCACCTATATTCATCTTCTTGCCTACACAAGTGATATAAATATGCAGAAAGCATTTTGAAGTATTTTAGGCTTTCATGAAAAATATAGACAGCTGACCCACAAAATTTGTGAAAAATATACATTCAAGGGAATCTTTCTTTCTGGGAATTTGGTGCTCCCTATATTTGATTTGACCAAAAATACTTTAAAAAATGTTCTAGGTAGTAATTTACTTGAAAGTCTTGTTACTTTCCTTTTCTCCCCTCTTGCCAATTCAGCAAAACAGCTCTAAGTTCAAGCCTTAAATTGAGGCTCAATGAAAAGGTACCTGCTTTTAATAATTCAATAGCTTCACAAATGGTCCATCTAGGAATGAAGCTAAATGCAATATATATTGCTAATGAGAGTGAGAAACTTAGAAAGTGGAGAAGTGGGCCTGCTTAAGAATTGAAGACAGTGTATCGATGCTCTCTCTTTCACAGTTTAATTATCAACTCTAAAAAAAAAAAAAAAAAAAAAAAAGACTACTTAAGATGTCCAGAAGAAAGGTTTTTGCTTATTTTCTTGTAAGGTGCAGATAGTTCATATTTTTCACCAGTTCAATTTGGGAGTCCTGCTTTTCACCACACCTCTTACTGGACACTTAATAATAAAGACTCGTATTTCACTTTTCACCGACCATAGCTACTTATTTGGTGGCTTCCACTCTCATGTGACAGCACATGCATAATCAGGATGTAATACAAGACCAGCCAGGCGAGACCTTACAGTAATCTTCTTTAAGTTGCATTTGCATCAAACACGTTGTGTCTAAAAGTGAGAACTGCCTTTAATGTTGGCAAGTTGATGATAGGGAAGAAAAAAAAAAATGTCTGAGTGTTCCGAGAGGATAACTTTATCTTGAGTGTAGGTTTGTTTGGAATGTCAGTAGCCAGTCTGAACAAAGAATTCCTTGTATGGTGAAGACGTCTTTTGAATGTATTTTTTTTCCATTGAAAAACTGAAGAAAATGATCTCTGGGGAGAAAACAGAGTTTTAAAAAATTAACCACACTTTGGATTACTGACATTTGCAATTAATATGACTTTTATTTTCCCTGGTGATCCAAATGTCAGGTATATGTCATTTCGATTCAATTATTGACCTTCAGCATTTTTCCCATACCACCAACTTAGGCAGTCTAGACAGTGTGGTTGCTCTCTGGGAAGTGGGCTGCTTTCTGGGAACTGATTTCTTTTGGATCATGGAGGAAGTCTCAGCAGACTTGGATAACTCTTCCCACATACTGCTTTGTGCCAATATATTTCAATATCTATGATGCCATAATAAATTAATACATCTGTATCATATTAATACTACATTAGAGCCACGCAACAGTAACATGACACAGTAGAAACATTGCTAAGCCCCTAAAGCTTTCACATGGCTCTGTTAGACGAAAACCATTACAGTCAATTCCAGCTCACAGACCTTACGTCTGTGAAAAGGCAAAACAGACAGAGTGTTGGGTGCTTTTGAGTAGTATAAACGATCTTGTTATCAACACCAACACTGCTGTCCAGAGATAAAGAAAGCAGACAGTCAGACGAGCTACTCTGTGGGCCCTGTGTTTTTTATAACCCCCGATACCCTCCTCCTTTGCATTATTGGTTTGTCATCCTTTGGATAATTGTTCATAAATCATTGCTGAAATTGCTCAGGACTCCATAACGTTTCTTGCCAAAAAGTTTTTCACCAAATATTTGATAGATTTTCCAAAATAATTTACTCATAAGAGACTTGGATTTCACATTTACAAATAGAAAAAAAGTAAGGCTTTTTCTAAAAGCCAAGTTGGCTGGATATAATTTTATTTCCAAAGTGAACAACACATATACATGAATCTTAACTAGACCCAGGATTTCTTTTTTCCAACCACATTCCTAAATATCCATCCCCTGCTTCTAGTTGGGCCTGGGCATAGTATATTTCTCTTCTATGGAAGTTGATTCATTTTCCAAAAGTTTCCAAGGAAATCAATACCATAATTTGGGGGTTAATTAAATCTATTGTTTTATAAGGACTTTACAAGGACTAACCTAAACTTTTTATGCTGCATTTGAAATTCATTGTTCTGTACTTTTACTATCATAAATAAAAATTAAAAACAGCTGCTTACCTCTGCCTATTTCTTTTCACATCCTTGAGGAATGTGGATAGGTTTGCCCCTTCATATTTCTGCATTAAATAGGCCCAGTGTCTGTGACCTTTATTTAGACAGACAATTTTCCAACCATTTAATTATTTTCATTGCTCTTCTTTGGACTTGTTTCAAACTCTCTTTCATTGGGTGGGCCCCAAGTGGTCACAGCGTTGCAGTACAGTGCTGACTAAATGGGAAGTTACTTCACTGGAAACACATAGCGTGAGCTGGATCTCTTTTTTTCCACATGGCTACACCTCATTTTATGCAACCTCACTATGTGAAAATCCAGATATAGCTTAAACTTTACAAGAAGATTCACCATAAGTGAACCTCTAGAAAAATTGTCTAATATATTTAAAATATTATTTGTTTTCTAATATCTATGTATGTATAACTTTTCAGAGGACATCTATCATGTCCTCTGAAATTATATTACATAATGTTCATCCATTCATTCGCCTACTCATTATTTTATTTATTCAAGAACGTTGGTCAAATTCCCAGTATACTCTGGTAGGCCCTGGAGATATAAAACTGAATACCTTAACTTGGTTCCCTTGGCTGCTTACCTTGAGGAGCGTGTAGCCCAGAGAGACAGTGTCTAAGTATTTTGATATCAATCAGATCTGTGTTAAAATTGTGGCTCACAAGGAGGATTGGTTGGGCCCAGGGGTCTGAGGCTACAGTTAGCTACGATTGTGCTGCTGCACTCCAGCCTGGGCAACAGAGTGAGACCCAGTCTCTAAAAATAGAATAGAATAGAATAGAATAGAATAGAACAGAACAGAACAGAATAGAATAGGTCAAATTGTGGCACACTATTTACTAGCTGCAAATCATCCAGCATACACTTACCTTCTCCAAAACTGAATTTCCTCATTTTTAAAAGGAAGATAGTGATAATTTCTATCTCATAGGAGGTGGTAAAGTTTAAATAAGCAATATGTGGGAATAGTGTGACAGAGCAGCTGGTTATTATTATTTTCCAAATTTTTCATATAGCAGATAATTTTATTTATTGCCTAAATTAGTAAGTGAAAGAATGAATAAACAAGTGAAATATACAAGGAAACTTGCAATACAATATAAGTGCTACAATAAAGGTATGAACAAAATGTTGCAGGAACAGAGGAGCAAAATGCTGAACCTTCTTGTGAAGACTTTATGGAGAAATATTATTCAAATGGTATAATTAAGGACAAGTATTTGTCTATTAAGGACAGAAATTTGCCAGGTGAAAAATATGAGGAAGGGCATTCCAGAAAGAACAAAGAGCATGTGTAAAGGCATTGAAATACAAGTACATGTGGCTGGCTAAGGAATTGTGAGAAGCCAGGTGCATTCTGAATGCAAGGGCTGCATGGAGGGTTGTTGCAAATGATGGGGCTGGAGAAGTAGTGAGGGTCAGAGATGAAGGTCGCAAGCGCAATGCTGGAATTTATCCTTAACTCAAATATACAATGAAACTGACAAAAATTGGAAAACAAAATACTTTTTATACTGCAGATAAGATCCTGTCATTTCTTTATAGTTAGACTCCTCGTTACAGAAATCAAACTTTAGTGACAACTTAGGCATTCCTAATAAAATAACAGACATTTTAAGGTTTTAAATAATATGTCCATTACATCATTTGATTATTAGACATATTGTATATTCCTCATTGTAAATTTTCTCAATGTCTAACAAAAATCTTTGCACGATTATTTAGTTATTAACTTTAAGAATATTCTTTGTGGAGAATGGAGATGCCAAATAGTCGTTTACTTTTTGTGTTTGTGATTTTTTTACTTTTGGTCCAAGAACTTTAGTAAACCAACAGTTTAGCTCATGATGCTTTCATGAATTAACCCACATATTTCATAAATCTAGGAAGATTCCTAGAGTTTTAAAAAGATTTCCTAGAGAATTGTTCAATATTTTTCATGGAAATAATAATAGACTAAGCCCATGCCTTTTCTTGTGTGTATGTGTAGCTCTCTATCTACCTGAATGTTTGTGTGTGTTTGTCTATCTCTCTGAGTGTTGTGTGTACAGCTGTGTAACACACACACTTACATATACAGTCTTTTCTGGAGAGATCTGCTGTATCTAGCAAAACGGTAATAATGAGGGCTCTAGAAAAGGACAATCAGGGAAGTAAGCAGTTAAATTTTTACTAATACCCAATACCCTATTCAGTTTACTTCAAGCTTAAGTCAGTGGGATATAAGGAAAAGAGCCAAGATTTTAATTCTGATCTAGGTTAAAAATCCCAAATATGACATTATTTGTACTCATTCAACTATCAATAATTTTTTGTTGAATGCTTATTATATACTGAGTATTTTAATTAAGTGAAAGATATATGCTTACTATATGCGTAGCTTTGAGCAAATATTTCACTTAGAACTTCAATTTTTGAATCTGTAAAACAGGGAAAATCATAGGGTTAGGGAAATACTGAATAGGACAGTGCAATGCAGAGCCTGGCATAGTGTGCCCATACATGTGCTGACAGATTCTCCATTCATTGAGCTTGGCTGATTTTCTAATGTAGGAAAGTAAATGAAAATGTTCTAGACCAGAACATAAAGAAAAACTTATTGATAACGTACCTTGGGATCATCATCATTTGTATCGTTGCAGTAAAGAAAAGGGTTTTAGAGTGAGGAGTGGGGAGAACAGGAAAGGGTACTGTTATTCCAACAAGCTTTGGACATACCTGCATTCAAATCCTGAACCTGCTTACTTATTTTCTGGGTGACTGTGTGTTAGTCACTGAGTCTCTCTCCATTTCAGTTACCTCATACTTAATGGGATAGTGTATTAGTCAGGATTCTCCAGAGAAACAGAACCAAAAGAACATATATAGATACCTAGAAAGAGATTTATTATGAGGGATTGGCTCACATGATTATGGAAGCTGAGAAGCCACACAATATATTGTCTTTAAGCTGAAGGCCCCGGAAAGCTGGTGGTGTAGTTCCAGACTAAGCCCAAAGGCTTAAGACCTAGAAGACCCAATGATGTATGTCTTGGTCCAAGTCTGAAGGCACAGAGAACAAGGTGTGTCAATATCTGAGATCAGAAGATGGATGATTCAGCTAAAGCAGAGTTGAATGGGGATGTGGTGGGAATCACTACACCTTCATCTTTCAAGTCCTTGACAGTGGCCCTAATCTCTGCAATCCCTCCAGGGATGCAGCAGTGCTTTTCGTTTACTCTTTTCCTAGGCAGAGCAAATTCTTCAAATACTTTTTTTTTTTTTTTGAGATGGAGTCTTGCTCTGTCACCCAGGCTGGAGTTCAATGGTGCGACCTTGGCTCACTGCAACCTCTGCCTCCCAAGTTCAAGCGATTCTCCTCCCTCAGCCTTCTGAGTAGCTGGGATTACAGGAACCTGCCACTACACCTGGCTATTTTTTGTATTTTTAGTAGAGACAGGGTTTCACCATCTTAGTCAGGCTGGTCTGGAACTCCTGACCTCAGTTGATCTGCCCACCTTGCCCTCTCAAAGTGCTGGGATTACAGGTGTGAGCCACCACACCCAGCCAGGTAGAGCCAATTCTAATGGCTTCCACTAGATCTTCCCCATCAAAGTAGACCCCAATCCACAGGTCAGGGAACCAATGTGAGAATTCTATCAACTGCTCAATATGTCTACTTTATTTATGCATTCCTGAACTGGGAAAATAACCATGGGATGGGCTTGGGGACCACTGGGCCCACTGTAAGATGGATCTGAGCTAAAACTCCATTGATTAATTGGCCTCCATAAGCAACTACTCTGACTGAAGGGCCACAGTAATGTGTGGGTTCTCCTGGAATTAAAAGCTGCATCCAGTAGTCTCCAAAAGGTCTGGTTATTTCCTTTTCCCCAGTGCACAGTTATCTTGGTAAAAAGTTGTAGTCTCCTTTGGAGAAGGCTGGGAGAAAGATTAACAGATAAATTTTTGGTAGTGAACTGGATTCCTTCTTTGAGGGGACCCAGGCTTCCTGTGATTCAAGGGGTTCTGGGGGCTGTAAACTAGCTCAAGTCTGGAAATTGATTGCAGCGTCCTGAATATAGTTTTATGATTTGAATTAGAGTTTTGTTCATTTGACCTAGAACTTTTCTGCTTACACAGACAGAGTAATAACTTAGGAGCCGCCTTACTCTATTTCACTTCAAGTTAGACCATGGTTATCAAGGAAATGCCACAGGTCTGCACTAGTCAGACTATTCTAATTCCTTCTTTGATTCTGTCGTCCATTACCATAACTATGTCCACCTTGTCCTTGGTGGTTGAGTGCCACAACTTGGCCTCTGTCCCCATATAGGTTTTTCAATTAAGTAGATGCAGCTCCCACTGTAAGGTCTAGCCTACAGAGGAGAACAATCACAGAGCTCTTTAAGGAAGCTCACAAACTTATTTCTCAAAGTGGTTGGTGAAAGGTACATCTTTGGGACCGTCCCTCTTTGGGTGAGTAGTTCTTAGATAGCAAATCTTGTCTATCACTGCAATCTCCCCAAGAATTCAATTTCTTCTTTACATTAAGCCAAGGGAGGTGGGATATTTCCAATTCACTCATGGTGGCCATTTTTGGCTCCCTGTTTTGGCCAATCAACTAGAGAGAGACTTTTCTAACATCCCAAGCTGCAACATTAAATGTAGAATCTCTGCTTAGTGAGCTCATGTGAATTAATTCAATCTGATCCAAATTTGTACTCCTTCTGCCATTATCCCACCCCTTATCATCCATTCCCATATATGTTCCCTGGATTTCTGCTTCTATAAATTAGAAGGCTTGAGCAGTTCTTTTGGAGTAGCATACCTCTTATGGGTCATACTTTGTACTTTACCTAAAAGCCCCTAAATGGGCCTGCTGGGACTTGAGTCTAGTTATAGTTCTAGAAGCAAAGAAAGCTGGTGGAGGTAAGTCCTGGGAGAATAAGTATTAAATTGAATGCCTCAGTGGAGGCCATTACCATTTCCACTGTCAAAATGCAGAGATAATCCCCTCAGATAGAGGTGGAGAAGCCCATATCACTGTGATGAGGAAGCCACTTTTGCTGGTAGTAAGACTTCTTCCTCTGGTGAAAAAGACTCATAAGAATTTAGGGGCTCAATGTCCCCAGATTCATCAGGGTCTTTCCACATGTCCCCATCCCAACTTAGAGAATCCCATTCTTTTCCAATCAATGACCTCACTTTAACAGTAGATACCCTGTGAGGCTAGGAGTTTAATTTGCATTGTAATTCAGCTAATTTTAGAATGAGGTTCTGCATTGAATTTTCAGCAATTTTAGCCATGTGGCTGCAGGAAACAAGGCTCTCCCTGAGGGCACACCTAGAAGTTATTGGATTATTTAATCAGTGCTTGAGCTGGAAATTCAAGTTCCTGAGCTTATCCTATTCTTTCATTACTTTGTCCAGTGAAATTAGGAACAACTGACTACTGTTATTGTATTCTTTAGTTTTCTAAAAATGTTCAGAAGTGTCATATATAGAGTCACTTACCCCTTGCTTCTTATAAGTGGTTGATAAGGAGTATCCAATGCTGATATTTTATGTATCTATATAAAGAGTTAATGCCAAGGACTATCATCAGTGCTCTCTTTACTATAAGATATGAACTCATTTACAAGATATAAAGTATAAGCAGATTGGAGAGACAACTCTAGAAATACTAGAACTAATTTAAAAAACTCATCCTTAAAATTCTGTTCTTCTAGAACTATTCTAACTACCAAAATCTATACTAGTCAGGGTTGTCCAGAGAAACAGAACCAATAGGATACATATACATGTAGAGATATATAGAAAGAGACTTTTTTATAAAGGATTGGCTGAGAAGTCCCACAATCTACCATCTGCAAGTTGAGGCCCAGGAAAGTTGGTGGCATAGCTCTAATCCAAGTCTGAAAGCCTCAGAACCACAGGGGCCATTGGCATAGGTTCTGATCTGAGTCTAAAGGCCTAAACCAAGAGCACTGACATCTGAGGGCAGGAGAAGATGAATTGTCTAGTTCAAGAAAAGAGAGCAAATTTACCCTTCCTCTGTCTGTTATATTTGGGTCTTCAGTGGATTAGATAATTCCTACACATGTTGGTGAGGGTGATCTTCTCTGCTAAGTCTACTGATTCAAATCTTTTCCAGAAACACCCACACAGACACACCCAGTGATAACGTTTTACCAGCTATCTGGGCATCCGTTAGCCCAGTCAAGTTGGCACATAAAATTAGCTATCACAGATAATAATATTGACCTTGTAAGATTGTTGAATTAAATCTGATGATATATGTAAGGAATTTAGCACAGTAGATGACAACAATTATAATTTTTATTAACAAGAATCCCTTGGAAATGTTACTAAGCTAAATATATATCATTTATTTATTTGTTTATTTTTTAGAGATGGAATCTCTCTCTGTCACCCAGGCTGGAGTGCAGTGGTGTGATCTTGGCTCACTGCAACCTCTGCCTCCCGGGTTCAAGTGATTCTCCAGTATCATCCTCCTGAGTAGCTGGGACTACAGGCCCACACCACCACGCCCAGCTAATTTTTGTATTTTTAGTAGAGATGGGGTTTCACCATGTTGGCCAGGCTGGTCTGAACTCCTGACCTCAAATGATCCACCTGCCTCAGCCTCCAAAGTGCTGGGATTACAGGCGTGAGCCACCGTGCCCAGCCTACTAAGCTAAATATTTATGTTACCATGGGCCTTTTAAATCATGCCTTTCCTGAGATAATGGTATAATGACAAACAAAGTCAGAGAATTGTAGGGGAACTTGAGAAGCTCATCTCTAATAAAAATTTTCAAAAAATTGTTTCCTTTTTTAAAGAAAAGTAACTATTAGGACAATCCCAATCCCTGAGTGGAATGACTACCTGCTCGCTTATGCAGGCAAAGTCATACATAGACTAAACGTTGCACCTCTAGGTAGAAAAACCAATAATTTTCTATTTAGGGTTTTATGGGCTTTCTTTGCACAATTTCAAGGCATCTCCTCAATGATAGAAAATGTACTTTTTGAACCATTACTCATTCATCTATTCATAAACTCAGAAAAGAGCTATTTTCCTGTATCAGCATTCTGTTCCTTCTCATGTGTGCCTTGCTTGTCCACAGAAAATGGTAGAAAATCCTCTATGGAAAGTTTTCGTGAAAGTAACAGCATCAACATTCTTTTATCTGTGATGACAGAAAGATAATCCACATGTGAAAGCACTTGGTGCTTTAGCTTATTCTGAATGACAGAAGCATAATAGAATCTCCTAAGCATTAACATTCTACAATAACACAGCATTGTCATCTTTGTCTGATCCTGGCTCATGCAAATCTCAGTGTTTCAAATTCCTAACAAAAACTAGAGAAATGCACCTCAAAGCTATTATGTGGAAATGGATTAGGTACAGATCTAAATCTTTAAACAAACCCTTAATGAGGTAAAAGTCATAGTTATATACTTCTTAAGGAATGTTTATGGGCAAGATGAAAATGCAGAATCTAGGTCTCACAAGCAATTTACATGCCTAAATCCTGTATATATTTTGTTTCTCAAAGTATTAGCCTTTTCTGTCCTTTCTCCATATTTGATAGATTGGGTTCTTAATCCTGTTTTGCAAACTGTCTTAAGAATATTGAGAGAACTATTCTATGTTCATTTGAATTTAGAATTAAGGACAATTTGTAATCTCCCACTATCTCCTGACTTTTAACTTAAAAAAAGCAAAAGCCGATTATCTTTAGTAATGATTAAGGTATGGTGAGCCTTCAGAAATTTTTGAAGTAGGAGAAGTTTTTCAGCCACTTCTTCTCATATCTCTTTCATATCTCTTTCAGTGCTTATCTTCCAGGAGCTAAAGTCTTCTGTGTCACTCCCTGGTTGTCCTGAACTACTTATTATTGTCTTATGCACTAAATCTAGATCTTCCTTTCCCAGCATTACCGTTGTCTCCAAAGTTATCTCTCTTTTGTTGAACCGATCAAACCTTAACCGTCTGGTTTCTCATTCTCTTGGCTTTCTGCTCCTAACCAGTGCTTAGGCAGTTAGCATGGTAGGATTAGAAAGAGCCTTGAGTCAAAGTTCTGGCCAACACCTGTGGTGTGCCCTTCTATGCTGGGCACTATTCTAAATGCCTAGCATGTTGTAACTTGTTCATTCTCGAAAACAGTCCTATGAAAGCAGGCACCATGGGGTTAAATCACTTGTCTAAAGTCACACAGCTATCAAGTGGGGGAACCAGGATTCCGGTCCACGGGCTTTGGGTCTAGATTCTATATGTTTTGTTGCTATGCTATCATAGTGACAATGATTAACCCTGTGTTCTTCTCTTGACCTCGGTTTCTTCTTATATCAAATGAGAGGGTTTAGACAATAACAAAGATCAACTTCCACTTTAAAACTGTATATTTCTAAGGGAAAACTCTAATTGAATTGCCTGAGTTACATCTAAGGCTAGACCCACAAGTGCTTTGTGACTGGAGATAGAGGGCACCAAATAAAATTCCATTTGCTAACAGCAAATACTGGTGACTGTTTTTTCTTGTATTATTGGAGGGTGTGCAATTGATGGCTGAAGGCTGGATGAATAAGTAATTATCTACACTACTACTATAATTTAACATGGTATCTCAGAATTGTATTTCTTTGCATATGAAGAATATGCAGATATTCTCTGCATTCATAATGGCTTGCACAAAACAGAAATGTATTTCTCCCATGTAAAAGAAGTCATGGGATAGGTGCTCCAGAAGCTATGGTAACTTAATGATCCAGATTCTTTCTAGATTTCCACTCTACCATTTTAGCTCATGGCTGCCCTTCTTGAGATCAGCTGATGGTGTAATATGTCTGTTTTCTAAATATAAGGAAGGAGAAGGGAGCAAGGACAAAACCCCCCCTCTGTATAAGTTAGCTGTCTTCAAACAGCATTTACTGAAGTCCCCTCAAGCACTTCCACTTAACACTTCTACTATGAATCTTTGGCCAGATAGCTTGGCCAGTCTTAACACTGAAGTAGCCTGGGACACGTTCTCTCTTAGCTGGATGCTTTTCAGTCCTGAATAAAATCATCATTCTATGCAGAAGGGGACAGCAAATATTGGGTGGAAAAGGGAGTATTGGTAACCAGTTATGAGATAGTTATAGAAATCCACATAAGAAATAATAACAGTGGCATGGGGCAGGAACATTTGTAAGGTATTTAAGGTAGATTTGATAGGACACAGTGATTGATCAGATGTGAATGATGAGAAAGATGGGGGAGTCAAAGTCAATGACTAAACTGAAGTGACAAATTGGAAGGAGGTGCCATTCTCACATAAACAAGAACATGAGGAGAAACTGAACACATGGAGAAAGTGATTTAACAGCTTCCACCTTTGTTAAAATTCAGGTATGTGTAGAGGAATCAAGAAAAAATTCCAGGAGGCAATTTCTAGATATTCAGGACTTGAGCTCAGTAAATTGATCTGGGCTAGAAGTATGTAGATGTGTGAGCAGCTAGTATTATAGATAGTAACTGACATAATTGGAATTGATAAGTTTACCTGGGAAGAAAGACTAGTACTCTGCTACTGAGAAATAGCTACGTTTAAAGGTGGAGAAAGAAAGAAGACCCAAGAAGTAAACAGAAAGGCAGGAGGAAAGCCAGGAGAGCTTGGGATAATTCAAGCCAAACTAAGAGTTTCAAGGAAAGGGGAATTGTTAATACCGTTAGGTGACACTGAGGAGACAAGTAAAACAGAACTAAAAAGATATGTTATGATTTGATGCCAATGAAGTTCTCAATGGCCTTGAAGAGAGCAGTTCTGTGGACTGTTAGTGAAAAACAAGAAAACAGTGAGATAAAAAGTATATAAAGAGGCTGGTCACAGGGGCTCATGCCTATAATCCCAGCACTTTGGGAGGCCAAGGCGGGCAGATCACTTGAGGTCAGGAGTTTGAGACCAGCCTGGCCAACATAGTGAAACCCCGTCTCTACTAAAAATACAGAAATTAGCTGGGTTGCTGGTATGCACCTGTGGTCTCAGCTACTTGGGAGGCTGAAGCATGAGAATCGTTTCAACTCGGGAGGTGGAGGTTGCAGTGAGCTGAGATTGTGCCACTGCACTCCAGCCTGGGTGACAGAGCAAGACTCTGTCTCAAACAAAACAAAACAAAAGCAGTGTAGAAAAGATAAGGAAATTGAGACAGTATGTGCAGATTACTTTTTCATAAAGCTTGTAGTAAAAAGGAGAAAGAAAGGAGGACACAGAAGTAAAGGAGAAGACGGTCAATACGGTGACGTTCTCCAGGGCTATTGCACAGTTCTACTGATTACTTTTAGACAGAAGAAAAGACATCTAAGTCATTGCAATAGGAAGGAAGGAAAAGACTTAGAAGCAGTTCCATTTCTTTGTAAATAATAGGAATTTAAGGGAGTTCCCATCCAATGGTATTATTCCTCTGTGAAGTAGCAGTCAAGCTCATCTGCTGAGAGTAAGGAGAGGTTTAAAAAGTATGGAGCAGTTTGAAAGGACTCTAGAGAAGCTGTGGGAATACTGACCCACAAAGCACAGGGGGTGCTGGAAACAGTTAATAGGCAAGGAGTGAGATCACAGACCTCAAGACCCCAGTAAATCACTGCAGTCTTCTCCTTTTCCTCCTTCTGCCTTTTAACATTTGCAAACTTTCATATTTCTTGTCAACTTATTCCTAGTCTTTTATATTTTCCTTTCTATCAGGAGTTTTCTTTTTCATAATATTTTCTAACTAGTTATTGCCAACATAAATAAATCTATTTCAAATTTCTGTATTAATTCCTGGCCATCAAGCTGAAATCTGGTATTGATTCTAGTCATTTTCCAGTTTATTACTTTGGTTGTTCAGATAAAAAATACTTCTGCAAATAATGACTATTTCATCTCTCCTTTCTAAAGCATTTTTCTCATTCTTTTCCCTTTTTTATTCAGTGATTATGACTTCCCAATAATGACGAACAACAATGGCTACAGAAATCTGTTTCTGACATTAATGGGGATGCTGCTGGTTCTTTGCCATTTATTAACATGTATTTTGTCCATAAATATTTATTAAGCACCTATCATATGTAGTTACCATGTTAGGGTACTGGTTCTATCTACTGTGGTGAAATAATTTGACACCATTTCTGACCTAATGTAAATTCGAATGGAGAGGTAAAGATTTTAAAAGTTTACAAAGATATGACCTCGTAATTGTAACTTGTGACAAGATTTATGAATGGGGAAAAAGGGTGCTATGAGTGAAAAAAAATGCAAGCCCTAATTTAAATCAGAGGGTCAAATAATTTTCCTCTGAAAAAGTAACATTTAAGTTAAGACATAAAGGTGAGTCAGAATCATTGAAAAAATCAGGTAAAGGTGTCAGGGTAGGATGAATAAAGGGATTGAGTGGGGTATTAATTAATAAAGAACATGAAATGAGATTGCAGATGGAGATTATTTTGTACAATGCAAAGGATATAGAGTACATACTAAATGCTTATATTAAAAGTTAACTTGGAATATAATTTTAGATGATACTGGATTGTCTTTCACATAAAGATGAACTTTTATGCTTAGTTTACTAGTTGAGCTTTTAAAATTATGAAAAAAATTAAAATTATATTAATAGGCCCTACAGTTATATCTTGAAATGATCATATGGATTTTCTTCTGTTACCTATGTATGTGACAAATTGTGTAAACAGTTTTCTAATATCAAACTATCCTTTCATTCCAAAAATAAATCTTAGTTGGCTATGATATGTGTTTTTAATATAACTTTATATTTAATTGGCTTATAACCTCTTAGGAATTTTGTAAATACATTAACAGATACATTTTAAGAGGTTTTTGGGTTTTTTTTTTGGCTTGTTTTATTTGGTGTGATTGTCAGATATGTTATTACCAAAGCTATGCTAACTTGATAAAACCAACTAGAATTTTTTCATTAAAAAACGTTTGGAAACAGCATCACCCTAAAAAAAAATTTTCAAATAACATTCCAATAAAACCATTTGAGCTCTGGGATTTTGGTGGCGTGCATTTCTTTGACAATTTTGTCAATTATTTCTGGTTATGTCCGTTAAGGTTTTATGCTTATTTTGAGTCACTTCTGGTAATTCATGTTATCCTAGTTTAGGTTACTATCAGTTTTCCACCGGATTGCTTACACTGGATTTCTAACTGGTCTCACTTAATTCCAAGTCAATTTTTTCCTTGTACTGTCAGCATGATCTCTCAAAATTGTTAATTCTAATCAACTTCTCTGAAAACCCTTCAACAATTTTCCATTAGTCTCAAGATAAAGTACAAACTCCTTACACAAAATATGAGCCATGAGTGTCTTCATCATTCCTAAAACTAAATCACTTACTTTTATGTCATTTTATTTCAACTCCCAGAATGTTAGGTTCACTCTTCCCCTGCATCTGCCTCCATTATTTCCTGTAGCTAAAATTTCCTTGCCCCTGTTTCCTAATCTCTGGATAACTCTCCTTGTTCTTCAGATGTCTGCTCAGATGTAATTTTCTCCTGGAAGCTTGTCCTAACTCCAAATATGTGTACTCTGGAGACATGTACCTATAGGAGGACTATGAGAAACTATTCAGTCCCTCTTTGCTTGTCTGTCTTACTCAAAGGGCTATAAGCAAATCGAGAGACCATATATTTCTTTATTCATTTTTATATTCAGTAAGTACTCAGTAAGTATTTACTGATTATGGAATAAAATGACAGGTGTGAGGAATTTCTAAGTACATTGTAATTTTTAACAACTCACATTTATTTAGCCTTTCCAAAGTGTTCAAAATTTTCCCACTCACATATCATCAGTCTAAGTAATATTTAATTTAATCACAAAATTACAAAAACAAGTACAACTGGCATAAAGACATTTAGGAATGAAAACCCTGATTCTTTAGGAATATAGCTGAACCCATGAGAACAGAAATAGTACTAGCCACAAGCACAGCGATGGGCAACATTTGTTCTTTTGTAAGTTGGTTAAGTGGTGTTTCTACTACAGTAGAGTTTCTACTAGATATATAAACAGTTCACAATGGAGAACTGGTTGTGGAAATTTATTTGTAAGTTTAATGATTTGAATCTTAAAACATTTTGTCATACAAAATAAGAAATGGTTAAGATAGCAAGACTGGGCAAAAGTCCTCATTCACATGGAAATTAACCTAATACTACATTATTAGAGCCTGGGTTTTAGGTCCATGGAGCTGGGAACTATGTAGTATACCAAAGGGAGGAGAAGAAATCATATAAGGAGGACTTTTCCTTTTCCTGATATTCATAAGGCTCAGAAAATTCCACAATATACCAAAAAAGATTTTGTGAGCCCAGATGCTCCTGCATGTTTCTCCTATCTCCTGTTTAATCTTGATCTTGGGTGTTCCAAAATGTTCTATTTAGGAACATCATTTAGAAGGTTCTGATTTTTGTAATTGATTTCTTTTTCCCACCTTTTGTTTCTTTACTTACTGGCAAAGCACCACATAACCATTCTACTGATATATGTCAAATAAACAAATTTGTATGCTTATACTGGGTATATATCTTCTGTTTGAGAAAATATTTGGTTTGCACATCTTGGGACTAATCTTTGGAATTATTTATTCCATGATTACTAGTAGGGGTCATGCATATTTTATTTGGAGGGTTCAGAACTCAAGTCACCTGCCAAAGTGTTGGGGAAAACCTGCCAATGTGATGGAAGAATTTACAATATCCCGCAATACCTTTTAAAAAAATTCCATCTATCTCTGCATTATTAACTTCCTAGAAAAGCCTAGTCAGTGTCTCCTTCTGAAACATTGCTCCAAGATCATTTATCTCCCACTAAATGTCTGCTGAAAAATTTAATGTTGTTATGCAGATATCTACCAAGGGACTCCCCTTTGCTGGCCAGTTTTAGGATCTGACTTGGAAATCTTTTTCAAGTTGGGCTCTCAGGAATTGAGAGTTAGAATATTGAGTTAGTTTTGTTGTGGATATTGAACTAGACAATTACCTAGAGCCGGAGTTGGGGTTCAGGCCAATGATAGCCACATTTATGGAAAAGCCAAAACTCAAGAGCCTTTCCAAGAAGGCAGGTTAGAAACAAGGCAGCCATGCAGAGATAAGCAGAGATGGGATGTGGCTGCAGAAACAAAGAGGTAAAGTGGCTGCCTCATAACTTTTGGATTAACTGAAACCCCAGTATATTGCCAGCACCTTATTTCCTTGAGATTCCCTAATCTTTTCGATAAACTTGACAGTTTGTATAGTTTATGGGGGTGTCAGTTTCTTGCAACCAAATGATTCCTGGCTAATTCTTTGGACCATATTGAGAATTTGAAAACAAGTAAAGTTTCAGATGGAAAAAATGTGACTCATTGAAGAGACAGAGTGAAGAGCAAGAAAAACATCGCCCCCTCCAACTCCACACCTGCTTTTGGTGTTTTTTTTTTCCATATAAATTATAGGGCCCAAGCCCCATACTAGGAAAATATCAATGTAGGAAGTTTGCTTTTGATGCTCTCCTTCTCGACTTTCATCCATTGTCTACTTAATAGAGGTGCTACCTTCTTTTTTTGGGTACCTAGGGATTCATGCTCTCATCTTTCTCCCTCTTATAATCAATTTTAGAAAAATATCTGATAAATTTATTTATGAAAAGAGAAAAATAATTTTAAAGCTGTTCCTTCCTCTCTTTCATTATCTATGTATATATGTCAGAAAATTTTCATTTTAACAGTGTTCAAAATGTTAAGACACAAAATGAATCTCAAATTCGGAAACTTTAGCTGGTGCAAAGATGTGGTATTTTGGAGGCTAGGCCACCTGAACATGTTTGAAATCACACTGCAGAGATGGTTGTCTTCTCTGTTTCCATGTTAAGGCTTGCTCTGATTTGAGGTATGTCTGTGACAGTGTGTGGAATGTGAATATTTAAGAAGAGACCACCCTGCATGTTTGGATTAGTGTCTGTATCTATTTTAACAAGTATGGTGCCTGGGAATTCAGTTATTATGAGTTCAACTCCAGTTTGGGGTTCTGCATACATTTCAAGGGTAAAGGGCAAAGTACTTGTAGTCTTTCCTCTATGCTTCGTAAGACTCTCTGAAATATAATATTTTCTGTTAAGTGGACATGTCTTCAAATTGCGCCAGCTACTTGACAGATAGCTTGCATATGCTTATGTATAAGTACATTCATAACATACAACTATTCAAAAATGCCAGAATTGTTTTCTGAAAATTCAATTTTGCATAGTTCTGGTAATTAACTCACTGTCAAACTCTGCATAAATTTGAATTGCTTCAGCCTGCAATTTCCAAGCTTCTTAAAAGCTTGAATGGAGATCAAACAAAAACTCTCAACCTCACTAATGCAAATGACAATGTAAGACCAACTCTAAATTTTTTTCTATCATGTAATCAATAAAATCTTATGAATTTGTAAACAGTCCTGTCAAATCTCTAGTCATATATATCCCCAGACTTGGGGTAGCCTGCAAGGTCACAGAAAAAGAGTCTGAATAAATTTGGTTTTCCGTTAAACTCATCCAGACTCAACTGGTGTGCTTAGATTCATTTATCTTAAGGTATCATGTCACAATTTCCTGCTACTGAATAATGATACCATAGAACATTTGTTAGAACCTTTATTCTGGAGTAGTGTGCACAGTAGAGGCACAGAAACTCTGGTGGGATAATTAGAGACATGGACTTTATTTCAAGCCAGATTCTTGACTCATAATAGAGTCATATATTTTATTCCTAAATCCTCCCATTCAAAAAACAAGATGATATATTAGCATTGTCCAGAATTCTCCAAGGAATGCCGTGGGATCTGGTGAGTGGAGATTTTAATCCCAAATCAGAGATCTTGTCTTTGTGTCTACCACTACTATTGAATTGTTTTCTAACAAGAAGTTATTAGTCTATTCATCCCATTAATTATTTTTGAGTTTGTATTAGGTGCCAGGCTCTGTGCTTGGAAGAAAAAGTTCAGAGATGAATAAGTTACAGTCTAAAGAGCTTATGGTTGTCATAATAACTACAGTTATAGGAATATGCATGGGTATTATGAAAACCCCAAGGAGTAACACCTAACCTGTTTTAGTGGGGATGGGAGACATGGAGTGGAAGAGGAGGGGAAGGGAAGATGAATTGAGGGTGTCATGATGCTTGGGTTAAGTCTTCAAGAATAACTAGGAGGTAGCCAGACTTAGATGATAGCTTGAGCAAAGGAATCCATAAAAGTAGCACATTGGTGCCAGAGAGCAAGCTTTTGGTGTGCTGGAGTAAAGAGTGAGGCAAGAGCATTGAGGGATTGGTGAAAATGAAGAGGGAAGCAGGCACCTGGTCACAGAGGACCACAGGTGCCATCCAGTCCCATATGATTCCTAATTGCTATGGTTTTGAATGTCCTCTCCAGAACTCATGTTGATGCCTAGTCCCCAGTGTGGCAGTATTGGGTGGGGAGGCCTTTAAGAAGTGATTGGATCATGAGGGCTCTGCCCTTCTAAATAGATCAATTGATTTATGGATTAATGGATTATCATGGGAGGGGAAATCATGGCTTTATAAGAAGAAGAGAGGTCTAAGATAGCACCTTAACTTGCATGCCCCCTTGCCATGTGATGCCTGCCACTACCTAAGGACACCACAGTGAGTCCCCACCATCAGGAAGGCTCCCACCAGATGTGCCCCCAGATCATGAAATTTCCAGTCTCCATAACTGCAAGAAAAAAAAATCCTTTTCTTTATAAATTGCCCAGTTTCAGATATTCTACTATGAGCAACAGAAAATAAACAAAGATACTAATCTAAACATATTTCACCAAATTATATAGAGAGAAACCTTTCTTAATTATCTTTCTAGCACCCAAACACAGCACAGGCCTACCACTGAATAAAGGCTTAATGAAGATTTCCTGGTCTTAGTCTCAACCTCTAGTTCTTTTTATTTTATTGTTGTTGTTTTAAACAAAGAGACAATTTTCTTTTTTAGATATCACAGGTCAATTAATCATGTAAAATTGGCTGAAAGTTTTGAACATATAAAATAATTTCAAACATAACTGTATTCATTGTTTCATGTCTTATAGAACAAAAAAATATTTAGACAACACAAATTGATTAATAAAAGTTAACCACCTGCACTTGATTGAGTGGTATGCTAAACGCTGTGCTATAACTTGGCAATGTATATTATGTAATCCATGCAACCATCTCATTAAGTGAATTTTGTCATCCTTATTTTATAGATGCGAAAGTGTCAAAGGTGTGAAATAACTTCCCCATGTTTAGTTATTATACACAGAGGCAGAGTTTGAACTTCATTCTGTGGGCCTCAAACACCTAGTATTCCAAACAGCACTTCCAGAGCTGGGTACCCAGATAAACAGGAAAGAACCTCTAGTTAAATTAGTGCAAGAGGTGCACAGGTAGACTATTCCCCCGCCTCCATTTGGTGACATTTGAATTTTGATTACTAGCTAGTTTCAGGAAATATTTCACCAGAAATTTTACTGACACCATGTTTTATATTGCTTTAATAGATCAAAACCTTCTGATTTGGGGTTTCTTGGGGGGAAAATCTCAATAAATCACTGCAAAATCCTTTAGAAATGCCTTTTTGATGGAAGTGTCTTTAACTTGAGTTGAGAGAGGGAACCTTGTCTCTTCTTCTGTAGCTTTTGGAAGGCTTCTGCTCTCTTTGTGGTTAGACACGCTGTTGGCATTTTTTCCTTCCAGGGAGACCTTCTGAACAGCAGCATTCAGGTTGTCAGAACTTCCTCCCTGCCTGGGACTGCAATGTGAGAGATTATAGTATACTGTTTGCTACTGGGCTTGAATGATTATAGCAATACATCCAATGTCTATTCTAAACAGAAATGAATCAAAGAATGAATAAATGGAAGATATCTCATCAAGACAGGAAAATAATGGTAGCCAAATGAGATTCATATTTGGAGAAAAAGCATGGAGGGCAATCATATTCACACTTTGGGTTACTTATCATTTCTAAGTCTTATTTTTGCTGAAAAAGATAAAAACCACTCTAACCTCTTTGCCTGTGGCTCAATGTAGATCCAATTTTGAACATTTCTTCCACAAAGTGTTTGAGTAAAGGGTTGTAAATAAAAATAAAAATTTATTTTGTAACCTGCCAGTTAAAAATGTTCTTTCTCTTTAATGATTTTCCCAATATGTTAGCTAAAGAATGATTTACTCCCATTTGCCTACCCTTAAGTTTTCCTGCCCTTCCAGAAGTAGTTCTTTTCTCTGTCTATTTTTTTCACTTGGACATTCTTGGCATTCCTTTGCAGAGAAACACAGACCCAAGTTTCAGAGCCTCAACAGGTGATCCACACTTCCCACAAGACTAATGGCAGGGTGGAAGGTATGCGCATCTTTTAGTCTTCTCAAGAGCACCCATCTTTTCTTTTTTCCCCAATATTCAGGTTTTGGTCTCTAGTTTCAAGCCCAAGATGGAACACAGTCTGACAGGCTCCTACCTTCTTGAAGCATTAGTATTCCTTCTTCTATCTGTCTTCTTTCTTCGAAGGTTCAGACATGACTAGAAAGTAAGTCAATTCTGTTGCCAGCTCCCTCCTGCTTTCTTTCTTCCTTTATCCTCTCTTCCTCCAGAATGTCCCCACTCTGACAACCTTCTGAGATTTTGGATCTTTCTCTCCCCATCAACATCATCTGATGCAGCTTGGCCAGTAATCTCATTTTCTCACATTCAAGGGCAGTTCATCTGTAAAATAGTTAAACTACATTATTGATAACTGTTAATCATATATTAAAATCACTCACTCTTCCTAAAGTGGTAAATGTATGAAATTGTGACACCTTTACAGAGGTGAAAGGATCTCTTAAGAAGCAGTCATTTTGCACTGTGAACATTTATGTACTTGATTCAGGTGATGGCCTTCTCTGGAACATGGTGGGCTTAGTCTTGCCAATCAAACACTTGACCAGTAAATTACTTCCTTCAGTCTCTCCTTTAAGACTAAAAAGTACTCATTACTTTCCTCATGTTTCTATATTGGATTTTTGTTCTTCTGTTTTTTAAAGCTAGAAAAGATCAAATCAACTCTAAAGAATCTATTATAAAATGTCATCTATTAATGCCCCTAAAATGTTTTTTTGCACAAAAGATGAAACATTTCAATCAAAAGTATGGCCCCAAAGTAACCATGGAGAAATATGCTGCCCATACATTAAGGAAGGAGTGAGGGATACTGTTTGAAGTCTGGTATTTTATCTTATAACATATAAGATCTTAGCATTAACTCTTGTACCAAGTGGCCCTTGTCCAACATGTGTGTTTATATTGGCGTCTCTTTAGAATTTTTTTTGTAAACACTGCCAACTCATCATAACTTTGCTTTTAGCATCTTCTAAAAGAGGTAAGCAACATAATAACATTGCTTATGATACATATAAAAACACTTTCTTGTAAGTGCTAAGAGTCCTAGATTTACAAAAAATCTTGTAAACTTAAGAACATGGACTATATACAAAATATAAAGTAAGAGTTGTACTAGACATTCAAATACTTATAGTATTTTCCCTATCTTGTAAAAAGATACACTTTTTAGTGTTGTTAGAATGCCTTAAGAATCATGGCCTCTTGGGTTTAAATTTATGTAAAAAACTACACAATTTCCATTTTCTGGTTTATTTTGTCCTGGGTGTGTCATTGGAAAGGATAGCTTAGAACTTAATGACAATGGGAATCCAAAAAGCTGGTTCAAACAATTTTAGGGTTTCAATAGCAGTTTCAAGTGATACCACAGTTTGTGTATGAAGTCACTCAGGGCACAGAAACTAAGAAACTAATTTATGCATCAGAGCATCAATTTACTATGCACCTAATAAGGATCGGATCCAAGACTAACCACATTAAAACAGAGTATCTGTAATCTGCACAACAATCCTAGAACACAGGGATGTTTGCTCTGATTTTATAGATGGAGAAGCAGGTAGAGAGGTAAAACAACTGGCTTAAGGATACAGAGTCCTCAGATTTCAAAGGAGGGATTTGAGACTTAGTCTGCTGGCTCCCAAATTAATGTTCTTGCCACTAAACCAGGCTGCTTCCTTATAATTAGGAAAGTTGTGCTCCTGAACAAGTGTTTGGTTTTTCCAAATATGGGATCTGCTTTGCAATTTGTCCATGTTGATATCAGTAGCCCTAGTTCATTCATTTCTTTCTCTAAGTTTAATAGCTATAGCTAAATTATTCTTCAAAGCCATTGTGCCAAATTATACTGTGAATACCAATGTATAAGCATCTCCTTTTTTCCATACTCTTGCTGTGGCAACACACTACTAGTTGCCTATCCAATACCCATTTTTCATTCTTTTCTTAGAAACTTGGCTTTCTTTCCCCCTAGCAGTAAGGTATCCAACTTCAAAAAATATATTTCCCAGCCTCTTTTGGTAACTAGATGTAGCTATGTGACACAGTTCTTGCCAAGAAGATACAATCAGAATCTGTTGGAGATTCACAAAAAGTTTTTCATCTCTCAGATAGGTCTTGGCCCTTCTTTTGCTGCTTTCTTCATTTTAGACTATCCTGGAGTGCAGACATGAGGTTAGAGATAGAACAGTGATTTTGAATCCATGGGATATCAGTTTGAGGGTGAAAGACCTACAGTATGAAAGATGTAACAGAACATAAAAGGATCCAGGGATGCAGATGGAGCTGCTGCATTGGCTAAGGACAGCCAATCTCTGTACTTCTGCTTAATGAGACGAGGAAACTCTTATTTAATAGAAATCCTTGTATGCAAACATTTATTAAGAAAAAAATTACCACTCTGACTATTTCTCTTACTTCCTTGCCAGGTTATGGGTGTTTTTTAAAACATGATTCTTATACTTTATCCAGCATCTTGGGCATTTTATGCTTGAAGATGTCAGAATATCTAATCACCATTTTGCCAAAAAATGAAGTCTCTTTAACTTTGAACTTTAATTAAATCAACACTTCGCATGTTAGTTTGAAAAAAAATAAGGTTCATAGTAATTCAAATAGTGGCTTGTTTTAAAAGCTTTTTCCCTCCTTTCATATTGATTGATTTTCTACTTTCCAATTCTATTTTATGGGAATATGATACTAAAATTTTTTGTGAATTCCCTAACAAAACAAGCTAGGAGGAGAAGTATTTCTGGAGTGACAGAATGAGAGGCTCTTCTGATGCTCTCTCCAGTGAAACAACTATAACTGGTGAAAATCATTTAAAAACCAACCATGTAAAGTCTCTGGAAATTGTCCTAAGGACATATAGCAAATGGGGAAACACTGACTTGGGAAAAGCTATTAAATCTGAGTTAGAGGAGTAAGATTCTGTGCCATTTGAGCCATCACCCATTCTTTTCCACCCCAACCCCAGGACAGTGTGATGGAAGTTCTACTCTGGGTTTGTGCAACCAAGGTATGACTCTCTGTTCCTTCTGCTCCTAGTCTAGGGTTACATTTTCTCTCAATGCAGAAAGGGCTACCAGCGTGTCTCATCATCCTCTGTTCTGTGTTGCAGAAACTCTATCCCGGCAGCCATTGAGGTCTGGGACTCTTTTCTCTAACCAACTCTCGTTCATAAGATGAGGAATTCTATGAGTTTTTTCACAGAGCAGAGGTTCCACACTGGGAAAGGAAAGCCAAGAAGGCCAAGGGGCTACTGCCCTACCTAGCACCCTACTTAGAGATTAGGCATATTACTCTGAGACAAGCAGGCCATTATGTAGGTCCTGCACAGGAAGAGAAGCAGACTGTAAGCATAGAGAGATCCATAGCTCACATCATGGTGACTGGGTTTATTTTGAACAGAGTTTGGGGAAGTTCAAGCCTAAGAATGCTGTGAATTCAAAAAAAATGAAGAAGATTTTGGTGGTAAGCAATTAAGGAAAGGCAGGTAGCTCCATGAGAACAAGTGAAATAGTAGGTTAGCTAGAAGTTTAACAGAGAATCAGGGAAAGAGAGCCTAGAAGAGTCCTCCTGGGGTCTGACCAAGCTGTGAAGATTGGCCTCAAAGACCATCTTTGTAAAAGAGATGATATTCCTTGGTTCAGAGTGTGAAGTAATTTGTGCCCCTGAACATTATCAAAAAAGAACAATCAGCTAGCAATTATGAAAGTTCAATAGCTAGAAAGTTATGACACCAGAGGCAGACCACTTAGAAGCTTTGCATGGACAAGGAAAGAGAAAGTCAAAGAGATTCCAGCTAAAACCATTGTCATCCCTCAGCATGTAGGATGTAGAGTGGCTATGCACATGCCCAGGACTGTGCCATCCAAGGAACAAAGTCAGAGGCTGAACACTGAAGTGAAAATAGAATTAGCTAAAATAGTCCAGCAAGTTCACTAAGCAACTAAACCAGCAAACAATTAGAGTAAGTTCAAAGTTGGTGGGAGGAAGATCAGTATCGAGTTTTTATGCTGAGTTTTCAATGCAAAATGGTGAAGCATACAAAGAAACAGGGAAGCATGACTGATACATAGGAAGAAAAACAGGCAGCAGAGACTACTTTTGAAAGGGCCCAAATGTTGGACTTAACTAAGACTCCAAAGCAGCTATTACAAATATGTTCAAGGAATTTAAACAAACCATGCTTAAAGAATTAAAGGAAGATATAATTATACTGCCTCATCAAACAGAGACTATCAATAAATATATAGAAATTATTTTTTTAAAGAGGTAAATGGAAGTTTAGGGGGTTAAAAGTGTAATAACCAAAATAAAAACTTACTAGGGAGGTTAAATTCAAACTTCCAGTTGACAGAAGAAATAATCAATGAACTTGAAGGCAGATCAGTAGAGTGTATGCAATCTGAAGAAAAGAGAGAAGAGTGAAAAAACAAAAAACAACTTCAGAGAAATGTGGAATACCATCAAGTATAATTGAAGAACTGAACTCCAAATGATGGTGAATACAAAGAGATCCACATTCAGATACATTATAGTTAAAAAGTTGAAAGACAAAGAGAAAAATCCTAAAAACAGCAAGAGAAAAATCACACACCACATTAGCAATAAGACCAATAGCTGATTCATCATCAGAACCAATGGATGCCAGAAGGCAGTGGGATGACATATTCAAAGGGCTAAAAGAAAAATATTATAAACCAAAAATCCTATCTTAAGAAACACGCTTTCAAAAATGAAGTCAAAGACATTTCCATATACAAAAAAACTGAGGTAAATTTTGGTTATCAAAAACTACTTTACAAGGTATGCAAAAGAAAGTTCTTCAGGCTGAAGGCAAGTGACATCAGAGAGTAATTCTGTCTGATGTCTGTCATTCTGTCAATTCAAAGCTTGAATTTAATCTCTCTAGTAAGTTTTTATTTTGGTTATTATTGCTTTTAATCCACATTTTTAAAAAAGTGTTGGGAAAGGTAATTATGTAGGTAACTGTAAAGACACTATAATTAGACTTTTTTCTCCCTTATTCCTTGAACAGATTTAAAAAGAAGTTGTATAAAACAATATGTATGTAAGTATTTTGTTGAATCTACAATATATAGACATATAACATATTTGCAGTAACAGCACAAAGTTGTATTAGAGTAAGAAAATGACAACAGAGAGTAACTGAAATCCACAGGAAGAAATGAAGAAAACCAGAAATAGAAATGAGAAGTTTAATATAACAAACTCTATAAATATATAGTTGCTCCCCTTTCTTCTTTAACTTCTTTAGAGGACATAAAATTGTACAAAGTAATAATTATCTCAATACATTTTATGTACCTGATATGCATAACAATAGTAGCACAAAAGGAGAGGCATTTATATTTATTTAAAGCATTTTTTTGGCCAGGCATGGTGGATCACATCTGTAATCCTGGCACTTTGGGAGATTAAGAATCACTTGAGCCCAGAAGTTCAAGACCAGCCTAGGCAACATGGCGAAACCTTGTCTCTATTTTACAAAATACAAAAAACTTAGCCGGCTGTGGTCCGAGCTACTTGGGAGGCTGAGGTGGAAGGATTGCTTGAGCCCAGGTGGTCTAGGATGCAGTAAGCCATGATCGCGCCATTGCATTCCAGCCTGGGCAATGGAGTGAGGCCCTGTCTCAAAAACAAAATAAAATACAACAGGTTTAAAAGATTAACATTGTTATATCTCACTGTAATTAAGTAGTATAAATCTGAGGTATATTCTGATAAGTTAAAATCTGTATTGTAAGTCAAAGAGCAATCACTAAGGAAGTAACCCAACAAAAAGTGTAGTAAAAACAATTTATAAAAATTAAAATAAAATACACTTGCTCTCCTTTCTTCTCTCAGTTTCTTCCATGACAAAAAACTATTTAAAGTAATAATTATAACAATATATCATTGGGTTTGTAACATAGCCATAGTATGTATAGCAATGAGAGCATGAAAAGAGGGAGGAAAAAATAGGGCTATATATGAATACATTTTTTATCTCACTAGAATTTAATATAAATCTGAAATATATCCTGGCAAGTTAATTTGTATATTGTAAAACCTACAACAACTACTAAGAAAATTACTTTAAAAAAAGAGTGTGTTTGGTTTGTCAGCACATATACTAAAAGCACAGTGCAATAATAAAATGATTAAAAGATATACCAAAATTATTAATAAAATTAATGAAAAAAGCAAAGGAAGAACAGAAGAATAAAAAAGATATGAAAAGTAGATAAAATAGAAAATATAAATTTAAACATACCAATAGTAACATCAAGTATGAATGGATTAAACAATCCAGTCAAAAACCAAAGATTATGAGACTGGATTAAAACTAACAAATAAAAAAATCCAATTATATGTTGTCTGCAAAAGTCACATTTTAGGCCAGGTGTGGTGGCTCATGCCTGTAATCCCAGCACTTTGGTAGGCTGAGGTTGGTGGATCACTTGAGGCCAGGAGTTTGAGACCAGCCTGGCCAACATGGTGAAACCCAGTCTTTACTAAAAATACAAAAATAATTAGCTAGACGTGGTGGCACATGTCTGTAGTACCAGCAGCTCAGGACGCTAAGGCAGGAGAATCACTTGAACCCAGAGGTGGAGACTGCAATGAGTTGAGATTACACCACTGCACTCCAGCCTGGGTGGTAGAGCCAGACTGTGTCTCAAAAAATAAAATAAAAAAAGAACAAAAGTCACATTTTGGATTCAAAAATACAAACATATTGAAAGAAAAATCTTGGAAAAAAATATACCATACAAGTAGAAACCATAAGACAGCTGGAGTGACTATACTTTTATTGGACAAGCAAACTTATATGAAAAATGTTACTAGAGATAAAAGAACATTTTATAATAAAATTGTTAATCCATCAAGTATATATAATAAATTTTAACGTATATACACATAACAACGATGTCCCAAAATTCATTTAAAAATCTGATGGAATTGAAGACAGAAATAGTATATTGAACAAAAATAGTTAAATATTCCACTTTCAATACTGGATAGAACAATTAGGCAGAAGATCAACAAGTCTATAGAAGACTTGAACAACAGTATAAATGAAGTAAACCTAATAGAAATCTCTGGAACATTTCTTTCAACAATAGCAGAATACACATTCTTCTCAAGCACACATGGTAATTTCTCTAAGACATATCATATACCGGTACATAAAACAAGACTGATGAATTTGAAAGGTTGAAATCATAAAAAGTATATCTCCAACCACAATCAAATAAATGAGAAATCTATAATAGAAGGAAATTTGGGAAATTCAAAATTACATTGAAATTAAACAATGTACTTCTAAATAATAACGAATGGGTCAAAAATAAAGTACCAAGGAAATTAGAAAATGCTTTAAGATGAATAAAAGTGAAAATATGTCCAAACTCAGGGAATGCAGTGCTTAGAGGGAAATTTATAGCTGTAAATGCCTATTTGAATAGAAAGATTTCAAATCAATAACCTAAACTCCCATTTTAGACACACCGGAAAAGGAGAGCAAACTAAACCTAATGTCAGTAGAAAGGAGGTAAAAAATAAAGAATAGAACACAAATTAGTTAAATAGATAGTGGAAGTATAGTAGATACAATCAATGAAACCAAATGTCGGTTTTTGCAAAGATCAACAAAATTGATCTTTGACTGACCAAGAAAATAACAGAGAGGACTCAAATTATTATACTAAAATCCGGAATGAAAGAAAGGCGATCACTACTGATCTTACTGAAATAAAAATGATTAAAAGAGAATACTATGAAGAACTGTATGCCACTAAGTTATGTAATTTAGCTAAAATGACCAAATTCCTAGAAAGGCACAAACTATTAAAACTGACTCAAGAAGAAAGAAAACTAATTAGATCTATAACAAGTAAAGAGGTTGAATTCATAATTTTTTAACTTCCCACAAACAAAAGCTCTGGCCCAGATGGCTTTACTGGTGAATTCCACTAAAGAAATAATACCTGTTCTTCACAAATATTTCCAAAAAATAGTAATGGAGTGCTGTAGACTAAAATTCATATGTTAAATACTAACAAAATTCCTGTGTTAAATCCTGATGTGATAGTCTTAGGTGGTGGGGCCATTGAGAGGTGATTAGGTGATGAAAGTAAAGCTCTCATGAGTGATAGTCTTAGGTGGTGGGGCCATTGAGAGGTGATTAGGTGATGAAAGTAAAGCTCTCATGAATGGGATTAGTGCCCTCATAAAAGAAGTGCCAGAGGACTCCCTCATCCCTTCCATTATGTGAAAGTTATAGTGAGAAGGCAGCTGCATATGAGAATCAGGAAGTAGGCCCTCAATAGGCACCAAATATGCCATTTTTTAAAATCTTGAATTTCCTAGCCTCCTGAACTCTCAGAAGTAAATTTCTATTGTTTATAAGCCACTTAGTCTATGGCATTTTGTTATAGCTGCCCAAATAAACTAATCAAAGAAGGAACGCTTTTCAACTCTTTCCACGTGGCCAGCATTTTTCTTACATATATGATAGGAATTTTCAAACAGATTATATAAGGAACTCTTACAACTCAATAATAAAAGTGCAAATAACTCAGGCCAGGCGTGGTGGCTCACGCCTGTAATCCCAGCACTTTGGGAGGCCAAGGCAGGCGGATCATGAGGTCAGATGGAGACCATCCTGGCTAACATGGTGAAATTCCGTCTCTACTAAAAAAATACAAAAAATTAGCTGGGTGTGGTGGCAGGCACCTGTAGTCCCAGCTACTAGGGAGGCTGAGGCAGGAGAATGGCATGAACCCGGGAGGCAGGGCTTGCAGTGAGCCGAGATTGCGCCACTGAACTCTAGCCTGAGTGACAGAGCGAGACTCTATCTCAAAAAAAATAAATGAATAAAAAATAAAGTACAAATAACTCAATATAAATATGGGCAAGGAATCTAAGATCTAAGAAGGTATTTTCCCAAAGATCATTGGCCAATATGCACTCTGTATATGTAGAGCTGATACTAAACAATGTTATCCATTAGACAAACTGAAACCACGATGAGATACCTCTGATACCCACAATGATGGCTAAAATTAAAAAGACAGTTGATAATAAATGTTGGCAAGAGTGTTAAGAAACTGGAACTCTCACACATTGCAAGTGGAAAGGTAAAATGGTTCAGCCACTTTGGAAAACAGTCTAAGACTTCCTCAAAGTTTAAACAGAATTAACATATGACCCAACAATTCTACTGCTAGGTTTTGGAAAAAATGTGCTGGACATTTGTTAAAAGTGGCAAGACAGATTTTATTTGAGCTATTACAATAGTGATATGGTTTGACTGTGCCCCACCCAAATCTCATCTTTAACTGTAGCTCCCATAATTCCCACATGTTGTGGGAGGGACCAGGTGGGAGGTAATTGAATCATGGGGGTGGGTCTTTCCGGTACTGTTCCTGTGATAGTGAATAAATCTCGCGAGATTTGATGGTTTTTTAAAGGGGAGTTCCCCTACACAAACTGTCTTGCCCGAGACCATGTAAAACATAACTTTGCTTCTCATTTGCCTTCAGCCATGATTGTGAGGTCTCCCCAGCCATGTGGAGCTGTGAGTCAATTAAACCTCTTTATAAATTACTTGGTATGTCTTTATTAGCAGTGTAAGAATGGACTAATACAAGTAGGGATAAAGACTTCAGTACAGAACTGAGCTAAACTCCAACTACAGCAAAAGTCACCAGATGAGCAGAGCAAAGGGGTCAGTAGACAGAAAAATTACTGAAAGGAATTTGATGAGAGACATCAGGAAGTGGATTCCTGCAAAGTAGCTTAACAGGATTGCTAAAGATTGGTCAAAAACTTGGATATCAAGGGTGAAGAATGAGGAACTTGATTAGATATGAAGGGCGGGAAAGCTTCTTGCTAAACTGACTTACATGTATTCTTTGCTAAAACTGAACTGGGCAAGGGCAGAGTGGCAGGCCAAGAAGGCTCAGAAAAACATGAGAAGGTTGCCTAAGGAGAGAGTCTCTGTCAGCATATACTCAAGAGAAATGAAAACACATCCATAGAAAATCTTGTACATGAAAGTTCATATAAGCATCATTTGTAATAGACAATTGATAGTTCCTTCAATTGATGAGCGGATAAATGTGGTTATCTACACAATGGAATATTATTTTCCAATAAAGAGGAATAAAGTTACAAGATTGGTCAGCCTTGAAAATATGCTCAGTGAAAGAAGCCCTTCTCAAAGAACCACATATTTAATGATTCTATTTATATGAAACATCCAGAATTGGCAACTCTATAGAAACAGAAAGTAGATCTGTGTTGACTAAGTCTGAGAGTCAGGGAGGTGGAGTTGAGGGATTAATTGATAATGGTACAGGATTTTTTGGTGGGGAGGGTAATAAAATGTCTAATTCATTGCGATGGTATTTGCACAACTCTGAATATACTGAAAACTATTGAATTGTAAACTTTCAATGAGCGATTTGTATAGCATATGACTTATATCTCAATAAAGTTGTTTTTACAATCCTTAGGAAAGTTGGCTGCTAAAGGATACATTACATTTTTAAATAATTGCATAACTTTTTTCTCTGTTGAACATAAATTGATAGAATTTATTCATCTCATGACTGATATACTCTAATAGAGTAGAAATGAAAAGAAACACAGATCAAAAGAATCACATTTATGCATCCTAACTGACAGTTCACATGATGAATTGTGAAACACTGATAGCTTCTTCCTCTTGATGATTATGCAGACACAATGGGATGCATCTTAAGCAGGGGACCTTGGAAATCTATTTAAAAGCTTCACTTATCCCGTTTTATGAATATAGAAAGTAGGAGGACTTACAAGATGAAATGACCTATCCAAAGCTCCAGGATTTTGGAGCCTGAACTGTAACCCAGGGCTTTTGCTTCCTAGGCTTGGGTTCTTCATCAGTTCAGATTATTACTGTAGTCATGATTAACCACATTCAGTGATTCAGTTGTGCTTGTATTCAATCCAAATTCAATGTACGTGTGTCTAACAACCATAACTTCATCCCTAAAAACAGGATTTAGTCTACATCCCTTTCCTTTCTGATACAAGATTTCCTATTGTTATGGAATGTTTCCGTTCCCTTCAAATTCATATGTTGAAGTCCTAACCTCCAATACGGTGGTACTAGCACAGGGGCCTTTGAGAAGCAATTAGGTAATGAGGATGGAGCCCTCATGAATGGGATTAGTGGCCTTATAAAAAGCATCCTATAGAGCTCTCTCACTTTGTTTTCACCATGTGAGGATACAACAAAAAGTCAGCAGGCTACAGCCTGGAAGAAGGCCCTCACCAGAACCTGACCAAGCTGACACCCTCATCTCAAACTTCCATCCTCTAGAACTGCGAGAAATAAATTTCTGTTGTTTATAAGCCACCAGTTTATGGTACTTTGTTATGGCAGCCTAAACTGTCTAAGACACCTGTCTTGTCAATGAAACCACAATATATACTCAAGGACTCATTTATATTATTTTAAAAAGCATTATTGAGCTCATAGTATTTGCCAATTGCAGTAATATGCACTTGCTGTTCTCTGCATGGGACCATAAAGATGAATAAAATAGTTACTCTACAACCTGAGATACAGAGGTGGAAACAAAACACCACACAATAATGTAATAACAACAGAAACAGATTAATAAGTAAAGTAATATGGGAACATAGAATAGGAAGCAACTAACTTTATTTAAAGGTAAGACAGTTCCTGAGAAAGTTACCAAGTGGAGAAGGCAGGAAAGGTATTCTAAGGAGAAGGAACAGTGTCTGTGCAAAAGAACAAAGTCATGGTAGAAAAATAGCCAGAAATGCAGTACAGGGGAGGAGAGCAGAGAAGTACCTGAAGAGGAGCTATCAGTTTTGTTTTCACTTTTTAAAAAATGAAACATAATATAAAAATAGAAAAAGGAATACATCTAAAGGTAGCCCCTGGTGAATATTCAAAAAGAGAGCAGGCCCATGTAGCCAACAGACAGAATAAGAAACAGAACATTACCAACATCCCACAAGTCCTCCTCTGATCCTCCAGATACTACCATCCTACAAAATGAACCACAATTCTATTAAAAGTTTTAAAAAGAGAATGACATAATCACTGTAGAGAATCAACTGAAATCCAAAGGAGATTAATGGAGTAAGAGAGAAAAAAAATTAGGAAACTATTGGAATACTTTAGGTAGGAGATAGGAATTTCATGTAATTCCAACACAGATGGAGAGAATAAGAGAAATTAGATAAATATTTAAAGGCAATGTTTATGAAAACTGACTATCCATCAGAATTATTTGGGGAGCTTTAAACAAAATATAGAGCCAATCCCCACTAAATTTTCAGGTTTGAGTATCAGGAATAAGCATTTTAATAGCTGTCCTCCTATGTTTTCTCATGTGCCAACAGGTTTAGAAC
The DNA here is from genome assembly GCF_000001405.40 of Homo sapiens. Taxonomy (NCBI): domain Eukaryota; kingdom Metazoa; phylum Chordata; class Mammalia; order Primates; family Hominidae; genus Homo; species Homo sapiens. The sequence continues at coordinate 43,144,031 of NC_000012.12, forward strand.
TCACTGACTTCAGAGACAGAACACAGGTCATTGAGATAAATTAACTACAGGAAATGAGGAAAAGGAACAAGTCAAGAGAAACCAGAAAATTTCTGTCTCAGGCAGCTGGGAGGATGAGAACAAGCAAGTTGAGTTTTGAGATGACCCTGGAGCATTGTAAGTAAATAGATCATGAGCTCTTAGAATTATTAGCCTTAAATTAAGAATGGAGTATGATGAAGATTTGGGAAATGTCTAATGTGTGTGGTAGTTGATCCAATTGTACTGAAAAGATTATTTACTTATTTGAACCATTCCTCAACTTCATTGGTGTAAATGAGAAGTGACTACACACATTTAGTTGTTTTGAACTAGATGGTCTTCACCCTTCTCTTCCACATGGAGTGTTAGGTGACCGAAGAGCTAGAAAATGTAGATTTCTGTGTCATCTTTGAGTATAAATTAATAACCATTAATCCTAATTCATTTCCTCCTGTTATAATCTCTCTCTAGTACTCTGAGATGAAGGGAGAAGTAATTGGAGAAAAATATCAATGTTTCAGCATTATTCTACACACAGACACATTTTAGTTTGAGCTACTGGTGACTTTATATAATTAAGCAGTAGCATAAGATAGGCAACTTCTCTTCCATAGGTAATGAATATTAACAACTTGCTTTACAGGAAAAAGATTTAAAGGAAAGTTGCTTTACTCAAAATAGGAAAGACAGGAATTTCTTTGTCTCTTTGGTATGTGACCTGGAGGCTTCTTTCAATTTTACAAATATGCTTTGTTTAACCATTTGGAATTAAAGTAACACTATAATGAAGATAATTACAAGAAAAAATATTGCAACTTAACTTCCAAATATTTTTGCTTTGAGGGTGTGTTAAGATATTTGAATAAGATTACAGCCCTAGCCCTAGAACTCTGCATTTTTGGTTTATACTGAAAAACTAAATGCTGGATTGGAGAATTTTTCTGTTTCGCATTTATTGCTAAGTCAACTAAAACAAAGACTCTGTAATAAAACCTACTCTACCCTACTCTACTAAAGAGTCAGAAATCAGATAGGGTGGATCTGTAGTTTGTCCAGTGAGAGCAGATTCTTCAATTTAGGAAGACTTTAGGTGCTGAAATAGGTATGAAGGGCATGTATCTTTTTACCTCTTCCCCCTTCTCCTGATATTTATTGAATGAATAAGCTGATGAAGAAGTAATATATGAACTGGGGGGAAATAACAAGGTCCTGACCAACCAGGTATTGATCCAGCTACCTATCTAGTTAGCGGGTCTATATTCATCACTAGGAAATGACCTTGTAGACATTGGTGTGGCCCCTGCCATAGCAGCCACAGTCCTAGCCAATGAGACACACAGGGAGACCTGGTAGGCTTCTGGGAAAGGTTTTCTTGTTCTTAAAGATAAGATGTAGAGAAGAAATGCTATCTCTTTCTTTAGTTAAATACTAAGGTAGAATGTGAGGTCTGGAACTTCAACAGCCATCTTCTAACCATGTAGGGACCTAGCCAAAGACAAAGTTCACACTTGCGGAGCTGAAAGATAAAATAATTCGGGTCATTGGGGTTGCTTAATGTAGCAAACCTGACAGTGACCTCACTTCTGGATTTCTTGTTATGTGAGACAGTAAATTTTCCTTACTGAGTCAGTTGAGTTCTCTTATTTTCATCCATTGGAATTCAAACTGAGTTCCAACTGGATAGAATTCAAACTGTTGACAATTTAAATTGTTTGATTTGAAACTAAGTCAATCTCTTGAACTTTTAGTGTTTTTTTTTTCACAAGTTAGTATGACATAATATTTTACCTGTGGTAAATACATTTTTTACAAAGAATAATCATCCAAAATTGCAATACAAATACTAGAAAAAGTATGCTTTTATTTATTTTTTATTTTTTTAAAATCTAAAAACATCTTTTATTTTGGGGGAAAAGAATGTAAATAAAAAACGACAGCAATGTCATTCATATGTTATATATGTAGATGTATATCAACATGTGTATGTATACACACACGATTATATTTTTAAAAGTAAGCTTTTTTTTTTTTTAAAGGGTTTTCTTCAACACATTTTTGAGTTCACTTCAATTTTATTTCTTGATATAGTTTTACATGTGTGCTAAAGTGGATTGAAAAATGTGTTTAGTAAAAATTTAAATTAATTACTTAAGCCCAGCTATATTATACACATTAGGATAAATGTTACTATTTCTAAACTACATTATCAATAACAATGTTTCACTGGGCTCATTCATTCCCTGTGTCTTAACAGTGAAGATTTTAAAAAGTTGCAGGTAAAATACATTCTTTACTGTCTCTCCTCTGTGATTCTGTAACACTGGATGCATACTTCTAGTCTAATGCTTATCACCAAGGCCTCTATGCAGTCCAACTTTGGGGGACATTCACACTATGGCCTTCTGAATGGCTGTGTATGCTCAACTCCAATGGGCATCATTCAGATAGACTGCAATGTGAATTTATCCCCAGAATTGTGCAACATGGTTGCCCTGCACATAGAATTAAAACTATTAAGTTGTCTGTGTGCCCACCAAGAGAAAGTTACTTAACAACTTTGCATTTCTGTGACTAGCAAACTTCCTGGCATATTGGTAGTCATATTCAACTTTGCATCTCTGTGACTAGCAAACTTCCTGGCATATTGGTAGTGCTGAGGATGTGTGTTTAATGCATGAGTGAATAGTATAGGCAAATGCACTTGATTCATGTAATAGTTCTTTGGAAAGTAGCTATTTTATAATGTGTATGTAGCACATGATTGAGGTATTGCTTTGATTATCTTGTTTTGTTACCCCAAAACGTAGTGTTTTAAAACAAGAGCCATTTTACTATATCATATGATTTGGGGGGGCTAGGAATTCAGTCAGGATGCAGCTGGATTGTTCTTTGGTTTCACATGGCATCAACTGGGGCCAGCAGGTAGCTAGTTTGGTTTGGGGGGTCCATAAAGGTTTTGCTGACATGCCTGGCTTCTGTGCTGGGTTTGGCCAGCATTGCCTCCTCTATCAACATGGCCTCTCTGCAAAACTAACCTGGGCTTCCTCGCAGCAGGGTGGTCTCAGGGTAGGTGGACCTCTCACATGGCAGATCATGGCTTTAAGAGTAAGTGCTGCAAAAGGCCAAGGGCAGAAGCTGCAAGTCTGACTTCCACTGCATTTTATTGGTCAAGCAGGTAGCTAAGGCTGGCTGAAATTTAGGAGTGGAATTAGACCCTACTTCTCAGTAAGGGGAAAAGCAAGAAATTTTTAGCCATCTTTACCCAGATATTTGCAAACACCCTCTATTTTTCAAGAAAGAGGTTAAGTAAATAGATCAATAAATTGATGTTAGGAAAGTTTATGTTTCATGACTTCTACTAAGATTGGCATCTTTTCAGCCAAGTGTCCCAAATCATCTACATCTGTATCTATAGCTGCATATTTGTGAAATTTAAAGTACTAATAAGGAAAGGAATCTTAGAAATCATTGAAGGCTATTTCACCATTATAAGTTTTCTTTATAAGTTTTCTGAGAACTAACCTAAGAGTTTAAAATACGTTTTGTGCATTCTGCTAAATAATGCTGGAGATACATAGCACATTTCATAAATAGTTTCATTAAAATTCAAGGGAAAATGTCAAAGATAATCTCTTGCTGCCTATACACAGGAATTTTAAGGTGTACTTTTGGGAATATTTCATTTTTACATATTTCCTGGCTAAAAATATTGAAGCAATGCTTTACCCAGTCAAGTGTGTGCTCTTGTTAGTTCATTTGTTTCTGTTAAAATGGTTCAAATATGACTTTCTGAGGGTAATCTTGGCCCAGCTACGTACTCCTTGAACTCACCTTCAAGTGGCTCTTTGGTGGTCTTCTAGTCAGGGGTTTACACTTGTTTGTTTCTCAGACTTTAGGGGAAAATGTTAATCCTACCCACAGCTCAGCTGCCAAACCCTGAACTTAACTGGACAGAATGCAGCTGTATTCCAGCTACTTGCAAGGAAGTATAATCCCTCTGTTACTCAATACCTTTAAAAGCTCAGCTGGGAAATAATACTTGTGGAGAACATCCTGGAAAACACTCATCCTATCATCTAGAAACTCTCTCTAACCAAAGTTAGGCAAGACAATCCTGGAATTTACAGGTCTTAGGATTCATGAGACTGAATTCTGACAGATCTGCCTATCGTAAGTACAAAATTACTTGCAATAAAATAAGAATGTTGATCATGTGATGGAAAGTTTGCACTATGAATATCAAATGAATTTCTTCTTGGTTTCAGTATCAAAATTAGGTGATTGGTGTGTTTTTGTATTGTGGACAGCCTGAATCATAACTGGCCAATTTTTTTTTTTTTTCTGAGGGTATTAACAAGCTTCCAGACAAGAGTCCCAACTCTAGCAAGTATAGCATAAGAGACTTCATGGCATTAGAGAATCTGTATTGAGGTAATTCCTGATCTCTCCAAACTTCCCTATCCTTAGTTTCCTTTTATCCAATATATCTTAATTTTAAAAACATAGATTATCTTGCCATATTTTAAGTGAATCTGTGGCTTGCTTTCAGTGTCTTTGAGAACAAGAATGGAATACAAATTAATAAATATTCAAATAGACAAGTGCTGGGAAAATAACAAAATTATTGGCCTATTTTTTTTTACCTGCCCTATGATAGGTAGCTGCTCGTAGATTTTAATTTAAAACCTCTAGTAGAATAGCTTTATTCTTTTGAAATAGAAATAGCAATGGCTGTAGATGACTCATAAAAAGATATACCCCTCTGTTATGCAATTATGCAGCCACAGAGGGTTTGCAAGTTTGGGGAACAGGGAGGACACCCCACCCCATTCCCAAGGCCCAAACCTTACTATGCAATTGCTGGGCTTGCAAAAGGAGTGTCTGGTTCTGCCCCCTAGGCCTGAGGCAATGGATTCCTGGCACAGGAACTTTAACTGCCACAGAAACAGTGTTCTAGCTTGTAGTTATGTATGGTGAAAATAGTACTACCATATAGTAGTTTTATACGTGTGTGTGTGTGTGTGTCTGTATGTATACACATGTATATTGGTAGTTTTATGTATATATTATATATAGCACATATATATTAGACACATATAAAATAAGTGTAATTGTTGAGCTTCTATGAATGTCTAATCATAATTTTTGCACCATCATTTCTATGAATAAATGTATCCCATGTAGTTTTACTAGTAAACTTCCTGAGCAGAATTTATTCATGAGCTGGGGACTTTCTTTGCCTATATTTGTACTTAGATCGAATATGATTTGTGGGATGAGTAAATTAACACAGGCTACGTCTGCATTTAACACCAGAGAGGAAAGATAATTAATATTGAAAAGGATCCTATTTGTAGTTACTTAGTAAAGGTATTTTTCTGCTTTATATTTGGCATTTATATTTCTTTACAAAACTCTAAAATCTAAATCCTTATTTATAGTTATCTTTTTACGGTATGGCAAACATATAACTACATTAGAGGACAATTGCAAAATACATAAACTTTCATCTATTTATCAAACCTTCAACTCAACATTACTTAGTAGTAAAGTTAATACTGTCTTAGCTATATTTGGAACTACATTTAAACAAGTAAAAACAAACAGAAATAATTTAAAAAATATATAATTTGTAAAAGGAGTAAAATCTTACACAAAAATGACTCTTAGCTATGTCTATATTGAACAGAAAATGAAATCAAGTTAATATCTCCCTATGTTAACCCTGTTGGCATTATGGTAAATGCCACTCATGAGATGAGGATGGGTGTTCAGAAAGGTTCATGATAGCTCCCAAAAGGTAAGGCCCTGGAGAAATGCGGGGTGGAGAGGGGTGGTGGACAGTAGGGCACTGCAGTGTGTTTCTGCATATGTTTGTGGAAGGAGGTAGGTATGTGTTTGTGTCACAGACAGAGACACAGAGAAAGAAATAGAGAAAGAGAGAGAGAGAGATTGAGACAGAGAGAATAGAGCACTCTTACCCCAGGTAAAGCCTGTGGCAAAAATTTATATATTAACCCTCTGTTGGCAGGGCGTTATCCCAAGAAATCCAGAGTGAGAGAAAAAAGCAGAGTGAGATAGAGAAGAGGGAGGGAGAAGAATAACAAGGAGTCCATTACCAGGTTAACCACAGCTTCACAGAGGCACAGATGGCTGCTTTGTCTGGTGGGACAGCTTCTGGAGGCCATCTACTGCATCTCAGGAGAGTCCACGGGAGTGGGAGAAAGGACAAACCTTTCACCCACTGATTCTTTCCAGTTTCATATCTCTCCTGTGTCTGCTCCATGTTGTGATATTACCCCTGAACCTTTGCTTCATGTTACTGGACAGCTCTGGGAAACCCCTGGTGACAGCTGCATGTGAGGAGCTTCTCAGTGGATGGCAGTGGAGATAGCAGGGACTTTATGATGGCAGGGGATGACCTGAACCATCTCTAGAATCATTGTTGCCAGGGAGAAGGCAGAACCAGGCTGATCTTGGGTGGTGCAGAAACTGAGGTCATTTTACACACTGCAGATAATCTATACTCTTGCATAACCACCATCAATAGCATCATTTATTTACTGCTTACATATATTTACTGCTTACTATATTCCAGGCTTCATTGTCTTAACATTCTACTTAAATTATATTTTCTAATGTTCAAACACATGTAAGAAAAATACTAATGTTATTTCTGTTTTACAGATACATGAGCTGAGACATGGAGGGTGCAAGGTAGAGTTGGGCAAGCTACCCAATAAATCTTGATCACAGAACTTCTGGGCCTTACTGTGCCAAAGTTTCATAGAGCAAATTAAACCCACTGAATGAGGAATGTATTTTAATTTTATTAATTTTCAATGGTGGACTCAAATTATTTCAGAATTCATAATAACTTCTTGTACAACAATTAATTTTTAAGAATAATTTCCAGCTGAGTAGCTTTTAAGGCAGTTTTACAAAGAGTGTCTCCTCTTTTACATTTGCTTCTCTTTTCAAATGTCGTCCTTTTGATTATTTCACTGCAATTTAGCATCTCCAGAAAAAAAAAGGAAGAGAGGAAAGAAATTTAGTAAGCATTCATTTATTATCATAGCCCCAAAATGGCTGATTGTAAAAGGTGGTTTAAATAAAATTTTTAGGAAATCTGAAATCTTCATCTGCCTATCATCTTCCATGATCACAAATAATTTAGTGTTGAGAGTCCCTGGGTGAGGCCAGCTTAGAAATACTCAACTGAAAATTACTACATTCTGACCATTTCTTAGTAGCTTTTGAAAGTATGAAGCACCATGGATAACTTAGCAGCCAGCTAAAAACCAAATGCTATGAGCAATGCCAATTATTTTATTGGCATTCAATTGACAAATAAAATGGGTGGGCTTGGTGTTATGACTAATAATAGCTCACTCAGTTATGCATTTTGTTCACGAAGAAAATTGTACATCTTGACCTTGAGGGAAAATAGTCGTAATTTTGAGGGTAGTCTTAATGTAATTATTACCATCTGGGCCTTCCATAGACTTTCCCCCTGCATTTCTAGTACTGCTAGCAGCCACATTCTTGATTCTGTTACTGAGGATGCCTTGGAATAATAGTGACCTCACAGGAATGATTAATGACTCTTAATCAAAAAATAGGGGAGAGGTTTCCAAGCCTCAGTCTAAGCACTAAATATAATTAGCATATTCACTTTTAGAAGCTAGTCACTATAGTCTGTGCTGTCACTTCTTGACTGAAACTTGTGAATAATTATTTCACATCCCTTAATTTATTGCAGTGACCTCTTTCTGCTGAACATGGTTTTAATTTTGGGAGAAGACTGCCTGTTGCGTGACTTCTTAGGGGCTGCGCTTTTGATGTTGGATAGTTTGTCCTTAGTAATAGTCTAATTATCCCACTGAAGGAGATGTTTTGTTTTCAAAGGGGATTATTCATGGCCTAACTCAGATACCCAAAAGCTGCCAAGTAATAAAGAGATAGTTAAAATTCTAAATCAACTTGCCTAACTAACTAAAAGCCAGTAGTGTTGGTGTTATTTTGTTGACTGCACTATTGCATTCTTCTTGTAGAACTGCATACTTGAAGGGGTGGGGTCTGCTTTGCGTTTCATCTAAAATGGCTTTTATAGCCCTTAGAAAGCTGGAAATCTGCTTCATGTTTAACATCTCTTTCCACAACAATTTAGGTTCATCTTTTTGTTACTTCAGTCACTGGAAAACTTCAATGTTCAGCTGTTGTTTTTTTCAAACCTCAAAGCAATGAAGACCCTCAGTATCTTTTTATATTGAAACATGTTCTAATACAATCTTCTACTGTTGATCTATTACTTTAATATTCAGTCTTTTTTTTTTTTTTTTTGAGGCAGGGTCTCATTCTGTCGCCCAGGCTGGAATGCACTGGCATGACCATAGCTCACTGCAGCCTCCATCTCCCGGGCTCAGGCAATCCTCCTACCTCAGCCTCCCAAGTAGCTGGGACTATGGGGCTGCCCCACCACACCTGGCTAATTTTTAAATTTTGAATTTTAAATTTCTTTTTTTTTTTTTTTTTTTTTTTGAGATGGAGTTTTGCTCTTTTGCCCAGGCTGGAGTGAAGTGGCATGATCTCAGCTCATTGCAACCTCCGCCTCCCAGGTTCAAGCAATTCTCCTGCCTCAGCCTCCTGAGTAGCTAGGATTACATGCACCCACCACCACGCCTGGCCAATTTTTTTGTATTTTTAATAAAGAAAGGGTTTTGCCATTTTGGCCAGGCTGGTCTTGAACTCCTGACCTCAGGTGACCCACCCGCCTCGGCCTCCCAAAGTGCTAGGATTATAAGCATGAGCCACCACGCCCAGCCTAAATTTCTATTTTTTAGACATGAGGGTCTCATTATGTTGCCCAGGCCGGTCTTGAGCTCCTGGACTCAAGTGATCCTCCCACCTTGGCCTCCCAAAGTGCTGTGATTATGGGCCTGAGCCACCAAGTCCTGCATTATATTCAGTCTTAATGTCCCTAGCACCACAACTGAAAGTCCTGCTAGAGTCTTTGATTCTAGTTTTAACCTTATTTCCTAATAAGTAATAAATTATACTTTATTCGACATCTAGCTTCTGCTTTGGTGAGTTGGAAATGTCCCACCTTGTGGGAAACGTGTCTAAGCATTTCTCTTCCCGATTTTGTACTTAGCAAGGGAGAAACTTCTTGATGTCAGGCTGTAGTTTCTGTCTCCCTTCGTCCTCCTCCATCTCCCCACCTAGAGTTAACACAAGATGGGAACAAAAGAAAAACAGTGAATGCCAAAGAAAGACCAGAAGTAAGTACATGAGACAAAAATCCAAGGCAGGAAAAACACTGAAATAATAATAGCACGAAACAATGGAGAATTAAAGAAGAATGGCAAATATGACTGAGTCCTCTAAACAGTTGGCTATAGCTCCACAATGGAAAGTCCTGCTAGGGTCTTTGATTCTGTCCCCTAAACCATCCCAGATAGTTATGTAGCATGTGGCCTCAAAGGAGGGAGATTTTCATCCTTGTCCTAAGGAACATGTTTCTGGGCTTCCCTTATCTCCCTAATCTAATCTTACCTCAAAGCCTGCTGCCACCATTCAGTTATTCTTTTTACCCCTACTCGATATACAAAATAATTATTATTTGTGATATAAAAGTTCTTTTAAGCCCAAGACAGTGACTAAGTTACATCTCAAATATTTTCTAATCAAGATATTCTTATTTTCAAGTACAATATTCCTAGGCCTCTGGTCTGGGTCTCTGTACAGACAACATAGCCGTCACTATGTAGCAAATAATAAAATTAATGTGACTTGCAATATTAATCAACTATTAGACAAAAGTTCATGAGGCGTTGTGCCATTTTTCATGTTAGCAATAGCTTTTAGCATTTTGTTTCTTTATTCCTAAAATATGGAAAAATTCTTTGTCATAGTTGCATTTCAAAATGACCCAAATACTCCTGCCAAAATAAACAACCCTAGGTTTATTTTCATTATAAGTTTCCCTCTCTTTACTGCCCATTGGCTTCATTTTTTAACCTTGTTTTGCCTTTTTTCCCCTCTGAAAACCGAAAATTTAAATTTTCTGGTTTTAAATTTTTTTATGTCTTATTGGAGTTTTAGCTGACTGTAGTCTTTTTCATGTCAGTATTATTCAAGTTTCGGAAAAGTCTCTTTACCATCTATTAACAACTAAATAATTATAAATTGTTGGCCAAAAAAAAGAGAAAGAAGAAAAGAAAAAGAAAGAAAGGAAGAAAGAAAGAAAGAGAAGGAAGGAAGGAAAGAAAGAAAGAAAGAAAGGAAAGAAAGGAAGAGTAGTGGGGGAAAAGAATAAAATTTGCCTGCACCTTTTTGTTGTTTTTTTTTTTCTCTTCTCTTTTTATTTTTTAATTTTGCCTACACCTTTTAAAGCAAAACAATTACATTTTTTCTTTTAGTTTTATAAACTAATGAAATTAATCTGTTCCAACTCAATCAGTTGTTTCATACTGGAAAATGTCACACATCGGGGCTTTTAGGAAGGAATCATTGCCGTGCCTTGGTGAAGGGTGAGTATGGCTTTAACAACTGCTGGTGGAGGAGCCTTGGAGGAAAGAACAGGATAGTAAATGCAATTGCTTGTCTCCTGAGAGTTAACTCACAGTCCAGATGTCCTACCACCTATCTACCTGTAGTCTGAAGGCACTTTGTGAGTAATAAAAGCATGTAAATTGTAAATTCTTCTCCTTTTCTCTTTCAATATCTTACAATGTATCAATGACAATTGCTATTGTTATTGGTAACAGGTTGATGTCATACCGAAGGCTTTGGAGCCAAAAAAGCTTGTGTTTGAACTCCGGCCCCACCATTGTATGGTCTTAGACAAATGACTTAACCTCTTTAAGCCTTGATGTCCATACTGTAAAAAACGAGACAATAAAACCTACTTATTGTAAGGATATAATGACATTATTAACATATCTATTCTATTGCCTGATGCATAGCATAAGCTCAAAAATACTAGTTTTCCTATTCTAAAATGTTTAAAAAAAATTATAATCCATACCTCTTCTACTTCAGAAAGTGTTTTAATACATAAAAGCAGTGATTTAGCAATATCAAATCGAAGTTTGAGAGCCAGAAGAACTTGGAGGACCATTGATTTTAAAGGTTTCTTTGTTTTTTATGAACAACAGGAATTTCCTCTTATGTCTTCAGAACCTTGAGTTTACCAGGAAGACAAGGTGACTGAGATACTTCTTTAAGCCCAGAAACTGAAGAAGGCAGCTGTCAGGGATGGCTTGGAATGTTCTACAAGGTTTATATCAACTGAGGGTTGAAAAATCCTACTTATCCACTCTCCTTACTTTAGAGATGAGGAATTTGAATCTTAGAGAGTTTATGACTTATCCAATTGGTGGTATTACCGAAAACCAAAAGCCAGTTTGCTTCCTAGTTGAATGTTCTTTCCATCATGCCATGTGGAGTTATTTTGAGTCAACCAGAAAATCTGCAAGGACATCAAAATAATGTTCTTTCTCCCTCTGACCTCAGTAATAACCGGTTAAAGATTTAGAATGCTTTAGAGTAAATCCTCAAAGCAGCTGCAGGTCCTCAATGTTCCAGAATAGATATTTTAAGTTCTCCAAATAAAAAATCCCAATAAAGACCTTCTTTTTGCAGTAACTAAAAAAGTTTCCAGCTCTCCTGTCACAAAGTGGCTATTGAGACTTCAAATGTCAGATGATCTCCTTTGAAGCAGCAAAATAGAGTGGATAGAACTCCAGGATGGATGTCAAAAAACTCTGTGATCCTAGTTCTAACTCAAATTTACCTTTCATATGGTATGAGGTAAGCTTTAGATATCTCTGGATTTGAAGTTATTTTTGACTCCTATTTTTCTCACACACTGGTGTGTGTCCATATCTAGCCCAACAGCAAAACTTGGTGGTGCTATATTCAAACTGTATCCAGAATCTGACCACTACTCACCACTGCCACTGCTACCACCTTCATCCAAACCATCATTGTCTCTCCTCCGGATAATGGAAGAAGCCTCCTAATGAGTCCATCTGCCTGCTTCTCCCTTTCCTTCTCTGCACATCAGTAATTCCAGAGTTTGTCAGTGACACTTTCATAATTGACTTGTTCTTCACTTGGTAATCTTAATTTGTTCCTAAAAATCCTCCCACAAAGTAAAATGCCATTATGTGAAAAAGCGTTTTTATGAATTTGAATTTAAAAATTTAGGAAGCATTTTATCCCAACCCAACATACCCAAAGCATTTTTATAGATAGGAAAATATTTTAACTGAACAATAGAAATATTTTTCAATTGTCATGACATTATATAAGTAATGAACATCAAATTGAAAATAAAATAGAGTTTGTTCATAAAATGTAATAACATGAAGGTTTATGTGATGGTGAGTGCTGGTTGGTGGGGGAGTGTTAAAGGCAGTTGTTCTTTGTAAGGTATATTTTGCTCTCTGAACAATTTTGTTTATGAATGTTTTCAACCATTTGGAGGATCATGGTTAACTTGCACTTACAGCACACTTAACATTTAAAGTTATAGCAGAGAAGACAATTTCAGTCAAAATAATAGCTGAAGATGAGAGCACTTGGAAAGATGTGAAAATTTATTTAGTACACAGAGACAGAAAAATTACAAAAGATGTTACCTCATCATCCCTCTCTCTAGTCATACTTAGACAAAATGAAATACTTTCAGTTTATCCAAACACGGCACTCAGTTCAAATTTGTTCTGATATTCAATGATTAAGAACTGATGACTAAGAACTGTTAGAATAAAAATAGCATATTTTCCCAAAAGCTGCAGTGTCAAAATATCATGCTTATTTACTTTATATGTTTTAGAGTATCTATCTATCTATCTATCTGTGTGTGTGTGTGTGTGTGTGTATATATATATATATATGTATTTTAGAAGAAGTTGTTTGGAAAAGGGTAACTTCTCAAGAGACTTTATGGCAAAAGGTTGTTAACTAAATAGGTTCTGTGGGTGTAAGTCTGTGTTTACCAGTCTTTTTATCAAGGTTTCTAATTCTTTGTTAGGTGGTGTAGGACACTGCTGGCTTGTGTATAACCCAGGAATCAGAACATAGGGCAGAATGTCCACCTAACACAGTTCATGTTATTTCTTGAGTTCCAGTTATACACCACGTATCCTGATAAAACAAGTCATACAAGAAAAGGGCTATTATCACCCTCAAGGAGTCCTCAGCCTAGTTGGGGAGGCAGTAGGGCGGATGTATAAACTCTATAATATTATGAGTACTGCAATACAGAGTGTTCTGGGGCAGACAGGAGGGAGTCCCTAATTATCCCCAGGGTAGGGTGGAATTGTCAAGGGGCAACATAGAAGAAGAAACATCTAAAGTGAACCTTGAAAGTTCAGATATCTGGAAATGGAGGGAAGGTGGAGCAGGGTTGTGGGCATTCTAGGCAGAAGGATTGTGTTTACAAAGGAATAGAGTTGTGAAAAGGAACCTTTCTTCAAGAAATAGGACCTCTCCATTAAGAAACTTTCATCAACTCTGATTGTTCTTTGTTTCATATTGGGGCAACACCTACTGAGAGGTTGAATAAGGAGAAACATTGATCACCATCTCTATGTATAAGGATGTTGTGAAAATATCATCACTATTTGGCTTATCTGTTGTTGCAAGACAGTTCATCCCAAACTTAAAGGCATAAAACAACAACCATTTTATAATTGGATTAGTCCATTCTCACATTGCTATAAAGAAATACCTGAGACTGTGTAGTTTATAAAGGAAAGAGGTTTAATTGGCTCACAGTTCTGCAGGCTGTACAGAACCATGATGGTTTCTGCTTCTGGGGAGGCTTCAGGGAGCTTCCAATCATGGCGGAAGGCAAAACAACAGGCATATCACATGGCAGGAACAGAAGCAAGAGAGAGAGCGGGGAGGCGGCACATACATTCCAATAACCAGATCTCACAATCCCACTCACTCACTGTCATGAGAAAAGCAGCAAGAGGATGGCGCTAAACCATTCATAGACCACCTCCATGATTCAATTACCTCCCACCAGGCCCCACCTTCGACATTGGGGATTACTATTTGACATGAGTTTTTGGTGGGGACAAAAACCTAGACCATAGGAATTATGCTTATGAATTATGTGGCTTAGGAATTTGAACAAAGAAGAGTAGAGAGGGCTTATCTCAACTTCATAGTATCTGGGTACTCCCCTAGGAAGATTAGAGCAGCTGGGCGTGACTCAAATGGATAGAGGTAGCTTAAATACCTGGAGACTGAAATCATCTGGAAGCTCCTTTACTCACATGTGTGGCACCTAGGCTGAGATAATTTGAAGGCTGGGTTCAACCAGAGCACCTACACAGAAATCTTCTAGGTTGTCTGGGCATCTCCCAGCATGGAGGCTGGATTCCAAGAGGAAGTGCCCTTAGAGGAAACACCCTAAACAACAAGAGTTCCAAGAGAACCAGATGGAAGCTGCATAGTCTTTCCTGAAGTAGCCTCAAATGTTGTAGAGTGTTACTTTCCCCATATTCTATTTGTTGGAACAGTTCCAGTTGAAGGAGAGATCTCATAAACCCTATCTATGTATCAGGAATGTCAAAGGATTTGTAGCCATTTATTCAAATTGCTATATTTGTCACATTACAAAATGTTCATCTATTATACTATCATATTTTCTCTGTAGGTTTCTAGGGGAGAAATTTCTTTCTGGTGTAACTGTCAGGTAAAATAAACTTTTTTGAGAAATTGGTATATTTTTACTTTGCGGTCACTTGAATTTTTTAAATTTCTCCTTCAAATTTGGTGAACTTTGAATATCTGTATAAGTTGTTATTTAAAATGTTTTTTGAGGAAGACAAAGTGTATATAAACAACTAAAATCTGTTTGTAGATGATTGTGGTTTGAATTTCATGTGTATTGGAAGTAAGGGCAGAAGGTGAAGATATGAAGACAGGTAAGGAGGGACTGGACCGGAAAGGCTGTGTGTGTCCTGCTAAGGACCGAGGCAGTGTAATTTACATAATTGTTATCTAGCTTTCGTTTCACCATCTTTCTATTTTTCACTTTAACATTGTGATTTAAGCACTAGCTTTTACAAAATTGCTTATTGAGGTAAACTAGAGTAGAACTCTGTGGTGAAGGAGCCATTCTATTTTTTATTTTTAATGTGTCATTGACTGAGATTTTTTGCAAAACATAAGAAGAAATTACAAGAAAAATGAAATGAAAAAAGACATAAAAATACAAGTCCAATTTTTTATTAGATTCAACAGTTACAAAATTACTATGTCATGTTGCTATATGGTTTCTAAATGTTTACCTTTAATTTCTGTATTTATCTCAGGTTGGCAACAAATGATTCATGGACCACCACTCATCTATAGACCAGACATTAGGTAACAATGCCCTAGAGGATTAAATTTATGGAGAAAGAATCTCATTTTTCATACCTTGATCTCTTACCCCAAAACACAATTGCAATATACCCTGGGTGACCACCTCAGTCATTTTTCCAGCTTGTTTTTTTGTTTGTTTTATCAAGACTTGCATACAGCTTTCACTCAGTGATTTATGCAGAAAGGTTGGATTGCTCCAAATTGTCTAGGGATTTATTGGTGCCTTGCCCGTTGTTTAGCCTCAGCTGGTATTCCAGGCCTGGAACAAGTCTTCTGGTACTTAAGCAATGGCATATGCACACAATGCTCATAATTTATAGGCAGTCTTGTCCTTCATCCCACACTGCCTGCATTAAAAGATAAAGAGAAAATGGATCTATTTGAATTCTGTATGGGACGAAAGTAGAAGGTGGTTGTACATTGATGCCATATTATATTTGCCAAAAGAAAATTCTAAAAATATCATGTCTATAGAAAAATGTGTGTAGCTGAAGTATTTTTCTTTTAATAAAGTGACTGAATTATTGCTAGAGTTTTGTGGTAGACTACATGCTACATGGATACTTTCCAAACTCTTTTTCCAAGAAAGAGAAAATAATGCAGTTTCAATTGATATCAGAAGAATTTGCCAATCTTGGATGCCTCTTGAGGTTTGGCAACATGAGATTTGCATAACATTTCCCAAAGTGCATTTCAAGGGATTGGAGCTTTCTTATCCTGATTCTCATCCTTCAATAGACAGTTTCTCAGAATAAGACATTAATGAGAAAACTATGGTATACTAGCCCAGCGAACACAAGTATATTATCAACTTGTTTACAGGTTAGTTTCCCTAAATGTAATTGTTAACTCTTATTGTACATTGAAAACCTGGAGGAATTTTTAAAATGCTGGTGCCTGGGTCTTATTCCCAAACCTGAATTCATTGTTCTGGAATAGAAGCTGGGCATGAACATTTTTTAAAAGCTCATATAATAATTCTACTGTTCATCAAGGTTAAGAATCACTGTCTAAAACTAATACAATGATGGAAGAATCAATATAACTGGGGTCAAATTCTAGTCTCATTATGTTACAAGAAAATGTTGCTTCAATAATTGATGAAACTAATATATCGGTTTAATAAATTTATTGTTATATGTAAATACCCAATCAATTTGAGAAATCAAAATATGACAATAATTTACTGAGCACCATTACAGAATAAGTACATTTTCCAGTTGATATGGTTTGGCTGTATGTCCCCACCCAAATCTCACCTTGAATTGTAATCCCCATGTGTTGGGGGAGGGCGTGGTGAAAGGTGATTGAATCATGGAGGCGGACTTCCCCCTCACTGTTCTTGTGATAGTGAGTGAGTTCTCATGAGATCTGGTTGTTTGAAAGTGTGTGGCACTTTCCCCTTCACTCTCTCTTTCTCCTTCTCTGCCATAGTAAGATGTGCTTGCTTCTCCTTCGCCTTTCACCATGACTGTAAGTTTCCAGAGGCCTCCCAGTCATGGTTCCTGTTAAGCTTGCAGAACGGTGAGTCAATTAAACCTCTTTTCTTCATAAATTACCCAGTCTCAGGTAGTTTTTTTATAACAATGTGAGAAAGACTAATACACCAGCTTGTTCTCACAATATTAAGGCAGTTAGTTTATTATTACGATTTTTAGAATTAAAGACATTGAGGTACAAACAGCTCTTGAAAATGGTCTAGTGCCATTTTTAAAAAGGGAAGAGCAGAAGGTCATATCTTGAGCTTTTTACTTTGAAGTCTAATATCATTTTATTTATTGAATACTTACTATTTTGAAGTAAATGATTGTTTTCCACTAATACTTTTGGCTCAAATTATGCCACCGCTCTACCACCAGCCACCACCTCCCCAAAAATCAATCGGTTCTGAATTAAAACTTTAGCTTTTGAGTTATTCTTAATTTTCCCCTGGTCCATTTCTAACTTTAAGCATTTTCTCCCATTGTTTCCCATTTGAACATGGCTTCTTGTGGGCTACCTTCTGGTACAGAAATCTGGCTTCAGGGGTGAACTCCTTGGTCCTTTAACTTGGTTTTTTTTTTTTTTTTTTGAACCTGACTGCTTTTGCATTGGGAAAACCACTCTATAAAACACCTGTGGCCTGGTGTGGTGGCTCACGCCTGCAATCCCAGCACTTTGGGAAGCCGAGGTGGGCAGAATACAAGGTTAGGAGTTCGAGACCAGCCTGACCAACATGGTGAAACCCCATTTCTATTAAAAATACAAAAACTAGCCAAGTGTGGTGGTGCACACCTGTAATCTCAGCTACTCAGGAGGCGGAGGCAGGAGAATCACTTGAACCTGCAAGGCAGAGGTTGCAGTGAGCTGAGATCGGGCCATTTTACTCCAGCCTGGGTGACAGGGCGAGACTCTGTCTCAAAAAACAAAACAAAAGAAACATCTGCCACACACAAGTTCTAACTAAAAACATGGATAAAACAGTCAAAATCTTAACACTTAAATGACATTACTCCATCTTCTAAATGAGATCCCCATTTTATACAAGCACAAATTCAAATAAAACTGAAGAAGGTAACCATCAGTGACACAGCCAAAAAATATAAATTTCCATGTTGCTTCCTTTACATTTCCACTCCTGCATAGGGCAAACAGAAATGTAAAAACAGAAATTTTAACCTCTATTTTCCATCATTAACAGGGCATGGGGATTATTCATGCGTTTGTTGGTTTAGTTGGTGAATGTGGTGTTTATGAGGTCCCTACAACAGAATAAAATTGCCTTAAGAGCTAGTTAGCTTCTTAAAAAAAAAACACCCTTTTATGGTCACTAACTAGAACACCAGCTGTGCTTCACAAATGCACACCACTGGTCACAAATAAAGCAAGAAAATGTAATTGCAGTGGCACAACCAATTGACGTTACCAGGAAAACACAATCATAACCAAGAAACCACCAGCTGCCAACACGCTAAGAAAGACAGAGTTTTGACAGGCAAATATATCTCTCATTAGTTGAATGTAAAATTCTCCATTGCTAATGATTACTATGCAAGTCACAGTTAGTGTGTTATTTTTAATATAATTTTTAATTGACAAGTAATTATATCTATAATGGGGTACAGGATGATGTTTTGATATATGTATACATCGTGGAACATTGATCTCATTTATAAGTAAAATCTAAAAAAGTCAAACCGTGGAAGTAGGGAGTAGAATGTTAGGTTACCAGAGACTGAGTGGGTGGGGTGGGGAAAGGGGAGATTTTGATCAAAGGGTACAAAGTTTCAGTTTGACAGGAGGAATACATTTTAGTAATCTATTGCACAGCATGGGAATTATAGTTAGTAATATGTATTGTATATTTCAAAATTGTTAAAAAAGTAGATTTTAAATGTACCCATCATAAAAAAGTTTAAATATGTGAGATGGTGGATGTATTAACTAGTGTCTTATTTTTAAATAATACATGTTACTCTGAAGTTGAGTTTTTATAATGTAAAATGTTATGAATATTTAAAAATATTTTCAATTATTTGATCAGTGCACACAACCTGGAGCAAAGAGATGTCAACGTAGACTTGAAAGCCTCAACAAACATCTATACATTCAAAATTCAGAGGATAATTGCAGACTTACATGTTAAATGATGCCACAGGCTTGTGGTGAATGTACAAATCTAATTCCCTAAACCTATGATACTACAGCTGACCCTTGAACAACATGGGTTTGGACTACACGGTTCCAGCTATACACGATGTTTTTCAGCCAAACACAGATCAAAAATGCAGTATTTGTGGGATATGGAACTTACCTATATGGAAGGCTGACTTTTCTTATACTTTGGTTCCATGGGGCTGACTGCAAGATTTGAGTATGCTTGTATTTTGGTATACTCAGGCCAGCGCCCTGGAATCAATTCCCTGCATATACCCAAGGATGGTTGCATTTAGATAATCGGAGCATTACAATGCCATTTGTTATGCAAAGAACAGCTTCTATAATTTGTGAAATTTCAGTGAAAAATAAAATATAAAGATTTCACTCTATTAAACTCTATTATTACTAAGAAAATGAGAACTGAGTCTCAAAGGTAGTTAATACAACGTATTGATCCAGCAGAAATAGCTATTCCTATGAATGCCAAAATGATTAGTCACTTTGTTATTAAATCAGCCTCACTGATTATTTTAGATATTATAAACGGAAGTGATTTTCAATTTTCAACCCAACCAGATGTTATTGGCGTGCATCAAACACAGATAAGAGTGAATCTACTCAGAAGAAAATCAAGGAGAATATAGCTAAAAATATGCTATGAGGCTAATGTTCTGTTTAAAGAAAGGCTTATTTGATATTTCTATAGTGTTGAATGACATTTTCCGGAAAAAAAATTGTTAAATTTTAAATAGATTATATAATGTAATACCAAAATTATTTCAATAATGTTATTAGAAATATGCTTTTTTTTTTTTTGAGACGCAGTCTCACTCTGTCACCTAGGCTGCAGTGCAGTGGCATGATCTCAGCTCACTGCAACCTCTGCCTCCTGAGTTCAAGCAATTCTCCTGCCTCAGCCTCCCAGGTAGCTGGGATTCCAAGCGTGCACCACCATGCCCAGCTAATTTTTGTGTTTTCAGTAGAGACAGGGTTTCACCATGTTGGCCAGGCTGGTCTCAAACTCCTGACCTCAAGTGATCATCCCGCCTCAGCCCCCCAAAGTGTTGGGATTACAGGCATGAGCCACCACACCTGGCCAGAAATATGCATATTTTTGATTTTGCATTTTCTAGTCCATGTTTTCCATCATAAAATAGGTTTTTCCAAAAATTGAATTATTTACAAAAATTTAAAAAAATCCTTCATCTTTAGAATGTATTTTTTGAATTATCATTCGTTATACCAGAAGATACTTAATTTAAGAAACACATAATTTCCTTATTAATATTCTACAATAAATTTCTTAGGCTCATTGTTCTTTAATATATAGGCAAAAATATTTGGTGATTTCTTAAACAATTGGGTCCAAATACTGCCTTAATTTCATTTCCTACCAATGAATTCATTCCCTTAAAACCAGAGAGATTCCAGTTTTTTACACACGTTCCCCAAGAAACTGAATATTTTAGGCTTACCACAAAACAGACAGTAATAAAATTATAAAAGCAGAGATGTACAAACATGACTCCAGAGGTCTCAAAATGTCTCTAACAGGGGATGCCTGACATTATGGCAAACTAAGCTTGCTAGATATTCAGCTTCTTACCACAAACACATTAAAAAATCATGACTAGAAGATAAAGATAAAATATTTAAATAAAGACATTTTAATTACATACGTTAGCTCAAAAGAAAAAAAAAAGTGAAACATCTAAGCCAGAAGGATTAAATACATTTATATTCTGGCCACTTCTGGGGGAGTTGCATCCTGTTCTAGGTTTGGGACACTGGAGTTCTAATATTTTTAAGGACACAAAAGATGACTCTTCTAGCATGTGAAGACAGAAGAAACTGGAACTGAACCCCTTACATAAAACCTAGAGCCTTTCAGATCTGTCCTATTGTTAATAGGAGAATAGAAAAAATGCCACAGAATGATCTGAGTAAGCAGCAATATAGCTCATCTTGCTCAAGAGCTATTTTATGAAAAGAAAATAAGAGTCACAGGAGAAATCAAAATTCCAATAAAGATGTGAGCCCAGGTCTTTCTTATTTCAAAGCTCTTGATTTTTGCTTTGGTCTCTGCTGGCCTTCCTTTCTCTGAATTGTCTTTATGTTATGTAGAGTAAAGAGAGTTTTATTCTTGAACCCAGAACCAAAGCTATACACAAACTATTCTCACAACTTTTTTTTTTAAAGACATGCCATCCTATCGACCTTGTTAAATGATTTTTTTTGGAATGATAGGGCATTCCTCCTACTTTTCCTGCAATTATTTTCTAGCATAGATCTCAAAGATCTGCAAACTAGTAAACAATAAACCTAAAGCAGTAAAAACTTCAGACCCCTGCATCCAAGCTTAATTAAGTCAGAAATTGAATTCCATTATGTCATGGGATATGCCCTAGAGAATTGTATTGATTCTCTCCTCTACGCCCAAATGCACTTGAGCTAAAAGGCATCTTTGCAATCACAAAGCATCCCAGCCTGGAGAAAGCTATATTTTGAGAAAGAATGTAGGTAGGTATTCATATTAGATGTGGGAATCAAAGTCACCTTAAGTACAATCTTGATGTTACACTTGTGTTTTAAAAAAATGGGAAGTTGGAGATGAACTCGTTCATGGAGCTCAGAATTATTTGCTGTTTGACCAATATTGTACCATATAAGCCGTGTTATCTGTAAAACTATACATTCATGTATTAAATATGTATAAAAGGTAAGAGGATTGTTCTTTTATTGTGCACACATTTCCATGAGCTGCAAAGATGAGAATGTGATGGATGTAATAATACAGACAACAAATTTGTGGTTGTATGGGGAATATTCACTGCACCCACTGGAATTGATTCTAGGCTAGAATCTATAACTATTAGATGTAAGCATGTAGAGACCATCTCATTTTATTCCTAGTAACTGGCATTTCTTCCCACCAGGGTTTATCCTGAAGCTGATGATTGAAAAATGAATCCTCAAACGTAAGATAACTGTTAAATACACCCACCCAATAGACTAATTGAAATATAATAACACAGTTTACAGGAATTAATTCTAGAGTAATTTACAAGCTGGGGAAACTTAAATCAGGGACCCTAATCCAAAAGCAATATGGAATAGAATGGTGTTTTCTAAATCATAGTTGTTATGATAACACTTTCATGATTTTTCCATGTAAAATTTCTGAACTATATTTAATATTTTATTTAAAATCTACTCATTCTTTTTGTTAAGTACACTTATTTTAAGAAGAACTTTCATACTTCTGCCATATGTAAAAGTGGTGTCACCTGCTGTTCCATATTTGATGATCCACAAACATCTGTGACACTATTCACAGCTACAGTTTTAGGTAAGGATGTCTCACTACTTGTGAAACCCAGAAGGCTGCCAAGTCTATCCAGTGGTGCCTTTCAGCATGCTGCTGGGTTAGTGTACATGATGAACAGATAGCATATTGAATGGTGCCTGGGATGTCAAAGGAGCCAAGGTTACATGCCACCTAAAGTCATCTCGCATATTATCTCTAGTATGGATACCATCAAAAGAAAAGAGACCTCAATTAGGAGTTCAGAAACCTAGGTTTCTGAGGCTAGTCCCAGTTCTACTAATAACTTACCTTGCCTTCGGGAAAGTCACATACCTCTCTGGAACTTCTCATTTGTAAAATGAGAGCTTCTTGGAACTTCTCATTTGTAAAATGAGAACAAACTCTGCCCTGCCTCCTCCAGAGCAAGATTTTTAGGATTAAATGAGATGGTCTGGTGGAAGTGCTTTGGAAATTCTAAAATGCAAGCTATACATAAGCAAACCTTATTGTGTGTGCTTCTGCAAGCATGAAATGCCTGGTCAATGACTGGCAATGGGTGCACTTGAAAACATGTTGAAAATTTTGAAGCGATATAAAAATGAAGTATTACTACTGTTTTCTGGCCGCAACTTTTTTTTTGGCGCAAGCACAAAGTCAGCCAGCATTCATGCACTCTGTAGGTCTCATAACAGAACAAAGTGTACCTGTGTTTTCAAGACTTTAATCTTTGCAGCACAACTCTGTAATAACAATTAATGGATATTAAACATCACTGTCTCACTGCGATTTCTGCCATCTTGTACAAGATTCCCTTGCTATGCTACGCGATCTTCCACCCTGTATGTTTTTG
Source organism: Homo sapiens (assembly GCF_000001405.40). NCBI lineage: Eukaryota > Metazoa > Chordata > Mammalia > Primates > Hominidae > Homo > Homo sapiens. The sequence continues at coordinate 43,167,241 of NC_000012.12, forward strand.
CATTTCTCCCTTCTTACCTCCACTCTTGCCCACTCCACTTCTCTTGATTTCCATCTATTTCTTCCTCAGATTTTGTTTAGCTTATTTTTTTCTTTTATTTTTGTCTGTTATGAGTCCACACTCAATATCCTACATTGCATCTCTTGTTCATCGACATATTTTCCCAAGTAGAGAGTTAACTCTCTAAATACTGTTTACAGCTGCCAATGTAAACATAAAGGAATATAATCCTTAATAAAAATATAAGTAATGTATAAACAATAAAAATACTACTCAAAATTATTGAGAACTTACTATGTGCTGCGCACTTTTTTATGTGATTTATACAAATGAACCCATTTAATCCTCTTAAAAGTACTTTGATCTAGGTATTATTATTTTATCCATTTTATATATAAGGAAACAGAAGCCCAGAGACATTACATATATTACCCAAAATTACATAGCTGTTAAGTATTAGAGCCAAAGTTCAAACTCTGACATTTTTACTCCAGAGTTTATGCTCTTAATATTATGATACAATGCACCCAAAACATGTGAAAACTGCTCCTATTAAATCTCAGGAACACACGCTACTCATTCTCTCAAAACAAATACTATGGAGAATTATATTCCATGAAAAATGGCTTCATGCCAGTAATAAGAAAACAAAAAGTACAGAGATGGTCCTAAATAGATTGCAATACAATTGGAGAAAGAAATGTGAATCTAATGAATGAAACTTCATTTTATGTCGCTAATATCTTTTGAATTTAAATGGAGATTTCCAGTTCTTTCACAGATAAACAATAGCATAGACATTTTCCTTTCATCTAAATTAATGAGTTTGGCTGTGTTTTTCAACGAATGTTAAAAATAGAAAGTATGACACATTGTATATATATTCTTTTTTTTCCTAATTACCAGTTTGTAAAGGAAAAGTGTTGAATAGGTAACTCAAAGTTTCAGAGAATTGAAATTGATGCTGGAAAGTAATTTTTTACAATTATGATTAACTTTTTCAATGGAGGCTTGTGTGTGTGTGCGTGTGTGTGTCTGTGTGTGTCTGTGTCTACCATCTGCAATCTTCTGCTCCAAAGAGAGGGCACCTACAATTTGTCCAGGATAGTCTACACTCAGTCAATAAATGTTGTAAAATTTATGACAGTCAAATATAGATAAAACAATTCTCTAAGTTCTAATAGTAGCACATGTTTTATACACGTTAACTTGCAATTTGGATAGATAACTTCTTAGAAAAGTATTTTTTAATGACAAACTCATCTATGCAAACCAGAAAAGGTGTTACAAAGCTGAGTTAAGATAGGGAAAAGGTGAAAACAATTATCTACCTTTACAGCATAAAAAATAATCATGATGTAAATTAGATTCTTTAGATAGGGAATAAATTAGCATTCACCCTTAAATAATAGCTTAAAAGCAGACTACCTTCATAACTTCAGAAGTAAGGCAGGATGAACACATCCCTTTGCTTTGTTTGACACATTGGACAGATCGAAGTGTGCAATGATCAGAGAGTTTGATGGTGGTTAGAGCCTAAGTTTGTTTTTCTATCTTCCTTTCTCATACTGTCTTCACGGGAGAGTGTCCATATGTATTGATCTTTCTTCACTAGTGGGCTTTCTTCTTACTGCTCTTCTTTGAGAGTTCTTAATTCTTTCATAAGTTATCACACTCCAACAAAGGAACAACCCAACCAAAGTGTAATAATTCTGCTGTATGTGGGAAAGCATGTTTGCTTTGAAGAATTCTTCCTAGCTTGCCAGAAAGCCTTTCTCACAAAAGAGAAAGTTATTTCTACTAGGTTGAGTTTATGTGTTTTTGTCTTATGTTTCTAGATACTTAATATGAACTTGAGAAACTTTGAGAAGTTTGGAATTTCGTGAATTATGTGTGATTCAGGAAAATAAACAAAATTTATCTAATTCAAACACGAAGACATGATTAACTTTAGAGAACTTGTTGACATTTTCAATGTGCACATCAAGGATTAGAAGATATATAAGGTAGGAAGTAAATGTCAGGAGAGAACAATTGTGGTTTGCTAAACACTGCATAAAGCCTAGGTTTTATGCTGTTTATATATCTTTACTGCTTTTTTTGAGCTCATAAAATCATGAAGTGTCCTGAGCTGAATTAATAGATGTTCTGTGTGGGTGTAAGGAAGTCATTTTAAAAGTATCATCTTGCAAGATGTTTAGTTTTTAATTATCAATGACAAAGAAGAACAGGGACAAGATTACCTCATTTACCACTAGGTAATCTTTCATTTTAACACATTTAAAATGTTTTCATTTGACATCTACAGCCAGACTAAATGGTGGGCATCTATACAGAGGGCTTAGATTCAAAGGTAGAGGCATCTATATTTTCAGGACTGTAACTTAGTACCCACATTTAAACTGATTTTATAATATCGAATATGTATTACACACCTGGTGGTGAACACTGGAGTAATTTAATATAGTGTCTCCCCATTATAAAAACCTATTACTTAGAAAGCTAAATTTCCCATGGAATTCTGTGCAAACATCTTTCTTTAGTGTCACTTTTTGCTTTGCTTTAGAGGATTAAAGACGTTGTAATACATAATCTGATTATGTCAGAATATAGGAGTCTTTTCTCCTCGTTTCAAACTTTGATATAATAGTTTCTTCTTTTAAGCTTTTTAAACTATATGATACTCAATAAAAAAAAATTCACAGCTGAATTTCTCCTTTTATTTTCATTTTTTGAGATGGAGTCTCACTCTTTCACCCAGTTCAGTGGTGTGATCTCAGCAACCTCCACCTTCTGGGTTCCAGAGATTCTCCTGCTTCAACCTCCCAAGTAGCTGGGATCACAGGCACGCTTGCCATGACACCTGGCTAATTTTTGTATTTTTAGTAGAGACAGGGTTTCACCATGTTGGCCAAGCTGCTCTCAAACTCCTGACCTCAAGTGGTCCACCGGCCTTGGTCTCCCAAAATGCTGGGATTACAGGTGTGAGCCACTGTGCCCAGCCCACAGCTGAATTTCTATGCAGCAAAATTTCAATCAATTTTTTACTCTAGTTCTTGTTCACTGTTCCAATTGATAATTGATAATATTTTTAAAAGGTGAAGGTTATGGAAAGGAGAGAATGGAGTAGAAATTAAAACAGGACCCTCCACATTTGAACATTTAAGAGTATTCTAGAAACTTAGGTGGTTATAAATATTTTCATTCTCCTCATTAGGAAATATTTATTTAGATTTTGGATTCAAAAGCTCTTTTTCTTGTTGTGAATTTTACAGATTTTATGTGGCTCACAGTTAAACTTTCTTCAGGAATTTGGAATGTTCTTTAGGATTTCCTACATAATTCGTGGGCTGCTTATTAAATGAAATACTAAGTTGAGAGACCTATTGTGCAGGTTAAACATTTTATAAAAATAGGGTATGAAACTATGGGTTTTGAGGATAAATGATACAATTAAATTCATGGGAATGCTAGGGATACTGCCACCTTGGGAGGAGAATTTACGGCATGTCTTTAAAAGATGTGTAGACTCTGCCTATTATCTAATTTTATTACCAATCAATTAATGTTGACCTGTCTAGTTGTTGTTAATGGTGGTGACGGGGCAGTTAATAAAAGGGTTGGGTGAGAGAAGTGTAGCAGGGATAGAAGTTTAGGTAAGAATAGGTTTGGGCCTGAAAAACTAAGAATGTCTGGTACATACAACTTCAAACACAATAATGCGTTCTATAAATATTCATAATTATTTTACATAAGGCGATCAGCCATAGTTAAATCAGTCTCTCTCTCTTTCTTCCCCTTGTATCTCCATTCTCCACTCTCTTTCCTCTCCCCATCATAAGCAAAAACTTCCTAATGTTTAATGTATATCTTTTTGGTTTGGAGCTCTTAGTTTCTTATATTTTTTTAGCCAAAACTACACATTTTAAAGTATATTGAAGTATAACATACATACAGGAAAGCATGCAAAGTGTACTGAAGAATGGTTGCAAACTGAACACACCTGTGTTACCAGCACCCACATCAAGAAATGTAATGTTTTCGGCACCTCAGCTGCCTCCTAAAGCCCCCTCCCAGGCACTCCCACGAAGGGGATCCAATCACCGTGACTTCAAACACCCAAATTAGTTTTGAACCTTGTATACATGGAACCATATGATATATACTCTTTTGTGAGTGCTAAACATTGTCTCTAAGATTTATCCAGATGATTAGTTTCAGCAGTAGTTTTATCTGATTATTTCTTCATAGTTGTCCACAGTATGGATATACCATACTTTACTTACCCATTTTATTCTTGTTGGATGTTGAAATGTTTCCCAGGTGGCTATTACCAATGCTACCTGTGCATTTAGTTCAGTAAACACATGTAAATATTTCTCCTAGCTATCTACTAGGCGTATAGTTGTTGTTTCATAGTGTATGCACTTGTTCAGCTTTAGGAGATACTGTCAAAGAATTTTTCAAAGTGGTTTGTTGATTTATACTCTCATAAAAGTGTGTCCAGTACCTAGAACTGTCAGCTTTTTAACTTTATCCATTTGTGTCTGTGCAGTAGTATTTTATTGTGGAGTTTTTAATAGCTTTATTAGGGTACATATTTAAAATGTACAATCTGATGAGTTGTGACAAACGTATACACTTGTAAAACCATCAACATAATCAAAGTAACAAACATAGGCATCATCCCTAAAAGTTTCCTCCTGCCATTTTGTAATCGCTGCATCCTCTTCCTCTTTTTCTCCCCTTGCCCCAGGAAAACCACTGATATCTTGTTCTTATGTATATAATTTTCTTTATTTTTACTTTAGCTTCCTTCTAGCTACTTTTAAGAGTTTTCAATTTGTCACTGATTTTAAGTTATTTGATGATGTGTCTCGGTGATTTCTTCATATTTCTTGTGTTGGGGTTTGTTGTACTTCCTGGAACTGTAGGTTTATTATTAATCAAATTGGAACACTTTCTGGGCCATTATTTCTTTATCTATATATGTTTTTTCTGGCTTCCCTATCTCTCCTTTCCTTCAGGAACTTCAGTTACATGTGTGTTAAGCTGTTTGAACTTCTGCCACAGCTTATTGATACTCTTTTTTAAAATTCATACTTCTGTGTTTTATTTTGAATAATTTAAAATATTCTGAGCTTACTAATCGTTTCTTCTGCTACATCTAATCAGCCATTAATCCCATCAGGTTTATTTTTCCTACTAGAAATTTTATATTTTATCTCTAGAAATTTAGAATTTCCATATTGGTCATTTTTATGGTATCTTTCATGTTCTTCTTTACCATGTCCATGTTTTCCTCTACCTTTTTAAATATATAAAATATGGTTTTAATACCAATTTTAATGTTGTAATTTTACTATAAGTAATTTTTCAATCTGTTTTTATTGATTGGTCTCTTTATTTTGGATTTTTTTTCTGCCTCTTTGCACACGGTCATTTTTAATTGAATGATAGTGTGAATTTAATTTTAATTAAACTTTATGTGTTGGATATCTTTGTATTTATATAATTATTCTTGGAATGTGTTCTGGGACTCAGTTCTTTTTTTTTTTTTTTTTTTTTTTTGAGACGGAGTCTTGCTCTATTGCCCTGGCTGGAGTGCAGTGGCACCATCTCCGGCTAACTGCAAGCTCCGCCTCCCGGGTTCACAACATTCTCCTGCCTCAGCCTCCCGAGTAGCTGGGAGTCCAGGAGCCTGCCACTATGCCTGGCTAATTTTTTGTATTTTTAGTAGAGATGGGGTTTCACTGTGTTAGCCAAGATGGTCTCGATCTCCTGACCTCGTGATCCACCCGCCTCAGCCTCCCAAAGTGCTGGGATTACAGGCGTGAGCCACCGCGCCTGGCCAGGCTCAGTTCTTTAGTTGGAAATAAATTTAATTATTTTGACGGTTTCCTATGAAACTGTGCTAAGCATGACCAAAGCAGCCTGTATTGTAAATGTCTATTCAAGTAATTTGTACATTTATCATTGGGGCTGTTTATGTTTTCCTTACTTATTTTTAGGACAGGTAGTCACTCATTGAATATATATATTATATTATATATATGTACACTATGTATATATATACACACAAAAAATACACACACACACACACACACACACACACACACACACACATATGAAATATCTTCTCTCACTCTGACATGATTTTTAACACTCCCTGAATAAAAATGTTTTTTCCTGAGGAGGAACGTAATAAATATTTGCCTCCCTGAACAGAGCTGTCTGCATTGTAGCAGCCAGATAAATAGCTTGTTAAAATGATGGAGGTCTAATGGGAATTTTGTTACCAGTTCACTACATAGGGAAGTTCACTGGAGCCCTTCCTGGAATCTCCTCAGTCACATTACAATCATGCCATCTACTTTTATTGCTGCTGAGATTGGTCCTATGTGTAGAAAAGTATAAACAAACTTTCCCTATGACATGTGTTTGCCTAGAATGGGCCCTATAGATATTTTAAAAACCTCTGGAGATCTTTTACCAAGAAATATTATAAAATAAATGAACCAGCCTTCCTTCTTATTAAAAACATACTTTTGAAGATGAATGCTTATTCAGAGATGAAAATGTCTATAGAAATATTTTTCTAGAAATATTAATCATCCAATACTTTAGCTTTTCACTTAGAAAAGAAAATGAATCTTTCTGTGTAAATACATCTGCTGTGGCTTGAATATGTCCCCCCAAAGTTCATGTGTTGGTAACTTAATCTCCAGTGCAACAGTGTTGGGAAGTGGGATCTAATAAGAGGTGTCTAGATCATGAGTGCTCTGTGCTTATAAATGAATTCATGGTGTTATTGCAGGAGTGGGTTAACTGTTGTTAAAATGCAGTTGTTATAAAAGCGAGTTAGCCCCACTTGTGCTGGCCTGCTCTTTCACTCTCATGCCCTTCCACCATGGGATGACATAGCAAGAAGGCCCTCACCAGACACAGGTCCCTCACTCTTGGACTTTCCAGGCTCCAGAACTATAATAAATAAATTTCTTTTCTTTATAAATTACCCAGCTTGTGGTATTCTGTCACAACAACATGAAACAAACAAAGACAGCATCCAAATGGGAACATGTTATATCAGGTATTTGTGTTTCAAAGGGAAAAGGGTTAATTAAAGAGCTTCAGATTAATCACTGTTAAAATAAGTAACTTCCACTTCTTTGTCTAAATTATTTTAAATATTTATTATACTGAAATTATAATGACTGGGGAATATATCCCTTATTTTTACCTATCTTACATCCCAGATAATGTTAATCTATTTATCTATTTGGAAATAATAGCTTACTGTGAGCCAAGCACTAAGGATACAAGACAATATAAACTAGACATCAGTCCTTATCCAAAGGAGTTTTTGTTCAGAGGGATGAGATATAGGTAAACAGGCAATGTTAAGTACTATCACAGAGGTCAGTAAAACCTTTAGATACCAGGTGATAGTTTGTCTTGTTAGAGACTGATGCCTGGAGGAAAATATTTTTGAATGTTATATGTTAAGCATGTAATGAAGTCAATAAATCTCATTAAGCCAGGACTTGATGTCTTTTCCAAGTAAGTGAATATTGCAGATATTTAAGTACGAGTGTGTCTAAAGTGTTTTTAAGGGAAAGAGGGGAAAGAAGAATCTATAGAGAGTTAACAAGGTTCTTTTGAAGAAAACTATATAAAACAGAGGAGCACATCACCAGTAATCATTATCATCCCTATCATTATCAAAACTACTACCATTCACTGAGACTTGATTCTGTCCTGGGTGACCCATGTGCATTGAAACTTAGTATAATGGCTTTCTTTAAGGTCTTGCTGCTAGTAACTAGATTCAAAATCTTTCTCTCTTTAAAGGCATGTTTTTTTTTCTACTTCACTAGGGTTTCTAGGGTTTCTCAGAGACCAGCACGTATAGTACATTCTAATCCAGTAAGATGAGAGTAACGAAACCACCTGATAGTAGAACTTCAGCACACAAGTCCATAGGAGATATGCCTAAGGCTCGGACAAATAGGATCTTTTCTATTTACAAACTAAAAGAAGTCCTAAAATATTAGATAATTTAAAGAGGACTGGTAAAGCTATCATGTAGAAACCTCAAGTGGTAGGGCCTGGAAAGGACTCTTAGATATTACAGTGGGGATGGGAGCTGGTAAATGCCTGGAGGGATTGCTTAGTGCCTTGCCCTTACATTTATTAAATTAGATGAGCAATGTGAAACCATAGTTGTTACATATTCTTACCCTCTATAGTTAGAAGGGGCTCAGAATATGCCATCTTAAAATATGGCACTTTCGCTTAAGAATTATTTTGAGCTGAAGGCAATTGAGAAACAAAAGATTCAGGAAAAGTTCTGTGCCCCCCACATTATGTGCATAGCATTTGCCTTCAAGGAAGTTACCTCCCTGTACCAGGAAGAGGAGACCAAATTTTATCACAGGGATGGGGGGTCATATGAGCATGAATGTGCATAAACAAACCTTATCAAAATAAGTCATATCTTCCGTTAGTTTCCCCCATATATTTCCTTGTCACTTTCCCACAATTTATCCCAGCCAGAAGCCCAAATCCCCCTTCCTTTGTCTAGTCATTCCTCCACAACTTACCACCCTTTGTTAAAATGGTACATGAACCCCAAAGTCTAATTGCTTTTTTGAGTTTTCACTGCTTTCTTGTGAAGCTCCTCCCCACCACACAAAAATATTAACATCAATAAAATTGTACATTTTCTCCTGTCAATCTGTCTTTTGTCAGTTTAATTCACAGGCTTCAGCCACTGCACCTAACAGAGTAGAGGAGAAGTTGTTTTTATTTCCCCTCCTAGACAGTCTATACCCTAGACTTTTCTCACACAGAATGTAATATAATGTGGCAGGAAAAATATCTGGCCAGGAGTTAAGATATTTATTAGTCTCATCCTGGACATTAGCTACCTCTGTGATTGAGTTAAAGGATTCTACTCCAAGTCTTTGAGCCTAAACTTTCTTATCAGCATAATAAAACGATTAGACTAGAAGAGGATGGCAAATAGGATTCAGTTCATCACTAGAAGCCTTTGTCAAAGAAGGCTGAGAAGCCGTGTGTACCATGATCAATCACTACTGTCTACGATAAGCACTGGAGTGGAGTAACTGCAGTATATGTGTAGAATATGTGTCAGCTCTGGAATAAAAGATGGATAAAATCTCTTCAACTTCTAGCATTCAGTGAATCAGTTTGTACCCTTTAATGGGTTGTTGATACAGGCTAGAGAAATTTACCATATTCCAGATTCCATCAGAGGAAAAAGTGGGCAAATATCTGAAACGATGACACAATGTTTGGGGGAGAAATGGAATCTGTTTTGAGTCTTAGGTGAGAAGAGCAGCAGTAACTCAAGATTTACCAAGGGTGCAATATTCCATTTTGTCCCATGTTATCCAAAAATTGTGTTTGGGTGCTAAAGATACTTATACAATTAGTATATAAAGGTAGTTATACCACAACCCCTGCCCTCATTCTAATGTTAAGGTTAATTGATGCTTCTGGAAGGAAAATCTTTATGAAGAATCTAGTTAATGTTATCAAAGACTTGGTTTCCACAACCTGATAATGGACATCAAGTTCTTCCAGTGTGAAACAATTTGAATTTACTTAAATACAACCATATCATGCTGCATTCAAAGTTTCAGAATCTTCTTTCTACATAATTTAAGTTTACTCCCACCTCTTTCTTCCAGATGCAGATGTAATTTATGTAGAAGCAGACATTGAAATAAGCCACTCGGTGCTGACTCGTTTTCATTTCCATAATGTTCTTTGGGGGGAAAGTATTAAATCAATTTTAACCTGTTTGGGCCTGCGTCCAAATAATGTGCAGTCCTGTTTGAAGAGAATCAGTTTTGAAATTTGTAAAAGAGGTCATATGAAATGCATTACTCAGTTAAGTAAAGGAACTTATACTTTATTATAGAATACTGTACCATCTGCTGGATGAATATAACTAATTAAATTTGACTTGGTATGTGATTGTAACAAACAGTTGAAAAACAAAAATTCTACAGTGAATTCTTCAGCAGCACCTGAAATGATAGATACCCACTCAGAAAGATTGCATCCAGCCCTGGTCAGGTTGCAAACAGACTTTCCATTGTCTGGCTGCAGTCTACATAATGTTTGCATTAAAAACAGGTCAGTTTCAGTAACTATTCACAAGCAACACAGAAAACTCAAATGCAATGTTGGTCTGCTGTCAAAGAGCTAACAAGCTAACATGTTGGAATCAAAATGATTGCAAAGCTTCCCTGGTCATGGAAAAGAAACTACAAGTTCGCTGAGAAGAGTACTGCCAACGTCCCTGTTTTTTAAAAAGCAACCAAACAACTCTGTATGAAATACTCATTGCCTGTAATCCTGCAATTAAGTTGGAATGCTGCAGTGACAAACCAGGCTACAGCTATACTACTCTTTAGTATCGGGTATGAGGAAATCAAACCTAACTCTTTCTATAGGCTTCAATTGCATCTGTCAAATGGAAATAAGAGACCTTGTTAGGGGAGCTGTTAGGGGAACTGATACAGTTTGGACATTTGTCCCCTCCAAATATCATGTTGAAATTTGACCTCCAATGTTGGAAGTGGAGCCTTGTGGGAGGTGTTTGGGTCATGGGGGTAGATCCCTCATGTACAGCTTGGTGTCATCTCTGCAGTAATGTGTGAGTTCTCACTCTATTAGTTCCCATGTTTAAAAGCCTGGCACCTCCCTACCTAACACTCTGTCACCATGTGACCTCTGCACAGGCTGGCTCCCATCTGCCTTTAGTCATGAGTGGAAGCAGCCTGAAGCCCTCCCGAGAAGCAGATGCTGGCACCATGCTTCTTGTATAGCATGCAGAACCATGAGACAAATAAATCTCTTTTCTTTATAAATTACCCAGCCTCACATATTTCTTTATAGCAACACAAATGGACTAAGACAGGAACGAAAGGATATAGAAAGTGTTTTATACCAAATGCTATATAAACTTACCTATACAGATGCTTGAATAACAAAATGATTAGTTAAAAGAGAAACTTTTTTTCTGAAATATGACAACAGATGGTCCCCAACTTACCATGATTCTATTTATGATTTTTCCATTTTATGATGGTGCAAAAGTGATACACATTCAGTTGCTCCTTGACTTACAACTGGGCTTTATCCAGATAAGCCCATTGTAAGTTCAAAATATCCTAAGTAAAAAGCACACTTTTGACTTATGATATTTTGAACTTACAATGGGTTTATCTGAAGGTAACCCCCATTGTAACTTGAGGAGTATTTGTACTCAGTATCAACCACTGAAGCATCATCGTGTTTGACTTTTTCACTTTTCACCCAGATGTTCTTATTATGTGTTGGCACAGCCTTGGTACTTTCTATAAGGCAAACAAATGCATCATTGTAGAAGCACCAACAAGGGTACTAACTTTATAACTTTTATGGGAACTATCTTTTGAAGATCACTCATCATTTCTCCAGGAAATGTTGGTAAAATTAATACATTTTTATATTTAAATGATTTGTCTTTTTAAAAAATAAAGTAACAGTATATCCTTTTTTAAAATAAAGGGCGTGTTAAAGTATTTCTTCACTTGTTCAAACAATTGAATCTTAATAAAAGGAAGGGTTCCTAACAATTGTCCTTAATAAAAGGAAGTGTATGAATAAATGCACTTTGCACTGGAATCCATAAATGTAAAAAAAATAGTGACAAAAAGCTGATCTATATAATTTGGTGATAAAGAGTTCTGCCTAGGCTGGCGCGGTGGCTCATGCCTGTAATCCCAGCTCTTTGGGAGGTTGAGGTGGGTGGATCACGAGGCCAGGAGATCGAGACCATCCTGACTAACACGGTGAAACCCCGTCTCTACTAAAAATACAAAAATTAGTCAGGTGTGGTGGCAGGCGCCTGCAGTCCTAGTTACTCGGGAGGCTGAGGCAGGAGAATGGCGTGAACCCGGGAGGCAGAGCTTGCAATGAGCTGAGATCGCGCCACTGTACTCCATCCTGGGTGACAGAGCAAGACTCTGTCTCAAAAAAAAAAGAAAAAAAAAAAAGAGTTCTGTCTAGTGTACACTTCTGCTTTGTGCCGATGGTGTTTATGAAACAAAAGTATTATCACTCTTCAGAAGAGAGTTGGGGTTGAACAAAAAGAAAACAGAAAATTTGTCTGAGAAACAGAAGAAGCTGATAGCATTAGGGCCTACAGGACAAGAGAAGTTTCTCACGAGTAATTTGTGCAGGAATTAAGAGTTCATTAGAAATGACCTTTAAAAAAATAACTAGCTTATTCAAATACTGAGTTTATTTTTCTATAACCATTTTTGCCAGTATGAAAATCATGGTTATCTTGGCGGGCCTATGCAAGACAGCTGAATTCAAAGTAACCTGTTGACATATGGGAATGATAGGAGCAAATGCCAAATTGAAATAAGCAGAAGGAACATATGAAATAAATCATTGCAAAGCTGAACACATGTAGATAGAGCTGGCCAAATTAGACTTTGGGAAAAGCAAGAAAAAGCAGAATGAGATAAATGCTTGGGGTTGGAATCAAAGAATACTGTAATTCTCCTGAGGTCAGAAGAAGCTGCAACATGCAAACCTGAGCTATAGAATTTAAAGGTGGTTACAACAAAATTTTATCTAGAAAAGCCATCAAGGCTTATTCTTTAATTGTATATTTATTAAAGACATGTTACAGGATATCCCTCTTAAGCTGACCTGCCTGTTTACAATACGTGTCTACTTAAGAATGGATTTATAAACATGCATCATTTGCCAAGGTTGAAAATCTCCATCATCTTTTATAAATACATTATCCAGGCATTATTAAAAAGCTGGAACTATTGTCCCAGTGAGATGATTTCTGGCAGGTCTCTGCAGGATTTCCTGTTCTGATATCATTTGAGTAGGTGATGACCGCACGTCAGTCAGGAGCAATAGGGGCTTGCACCTGTGCTCAGTCAAAATGCATCCTATCAAATCAGGGCACTGGGCTTTCCTTTCAGTAGCCCGTTTAAAGTGGTGCTGACCTGAAAATAATCTTGTCTTACTTTTGAAATTTCCTTTTAAAATTGTTTTGAGCCAATCTGTCAACAGGTGTATGCTTTTTCCGCCAGATAGCAGCAATTAAGATATCAACTGCTATTTCTTTGATTGCAGAGCGCGGGGGATGTCCTCACTGAGCACAGTTTAGGTTAGAGGCAGCATCTGGGTTTCTGTAAGAAGCTGATTTTATCCAGTTTGGCAGCTGATTTGATTGAGAAAATGTCATCAAGTGATGTTTTTCCAGTCACAAAAAGGTACTGTGGAAAAGATCCTTAAAGGACTGTCATGAAGACCCATTGTCCCCACAGTGACTGGACACAGCCATACTTCTCTTGCTCTATGAGGAGGTTTTGAATTTAAATAATAGAGAAACACTTTAGGTTTTTATTGGCTATTTTTAAACTAGTTTCATGGAGACAGATCTTTAGTGTACATATTAAATTTTAGAGAAATATACTTTTTTGGAATTGATACAATTCTGCTTTTTATATCTTAATTTATGTGACACCACTGTCATTCAAGAAACACTATGAGTTGTTATACCTCCATGACTCCTACTTCTTGGTTCCTTAAAAGCAGGAACTTAGACAGTAATATTAATAATTATTATTATAACGATTACTTTTTATAATGCTTACTATATATACATTGGCACTGTTCCAAGTACTTTACCTGTATTATCTCATTTAATCCTCACAAAATGCAGGGAAATAGGTACTATTATTTCCCTTGAGCAGATAAAGAAACTGAAGCTTAAAGAGTTTATTTAATATTAGAGTGTTTATATTTATCTTTCTGACTCCAGTTAATTTATTTCCTAGCATAGTGTATCTGTGTGATAGGATTACGTTGTAGCCTGCCTTCAGTATCTGGCTTTCAATCCCTGCCTTAAGTCCTACCCTATAGGTTTCAACCTCTGTTCTTAGTCACTTTGGGCTCCTGTATTAGTCTGTTTTCATGCTGCTAATAAAGACATACACAAGACTGAGTAATTTATAAATGAAAGAGGTTTAATTGACTCACAGATCAACATAGCTGGGGGGGCCTCAGGTAACTTACAATCATAGTGGAAGGGGAAGTAAACATGTCCCTCTTCACATGATGGCAGCAAGGAGAAGTGCCAAGCAAGAGGGGGAAAAGAACCTTATACAACCATCAGATCTCTTGAGAACTCACTTCACTATCATTCGAACATCATGAGTGTAACTGCCCCCATGATAAAATTACCTCCCACCAGGTCTCTCTCACTACATGTGGGGATTATGGGAACTACAATTCAAGATGAGATTTGGGTGGATACCACAGCCAAACCATATCATTCTGTCCCTGGACCTTCCCAAATATCATGTCCTCACATTTCAAAATGCATCATGCCTTCCCAACAGTCCCCTGAAATCTTAACTCATTTCAGCATTAACTCAAAAGTCCACCATCCAAAATCTCATCTGAGACAAAGCAAGTCCCTTCTGCCTAGGAGCCTGTAAAATCAAAAGCAAGTTAGTTACTTCCTAGATACAATGGAGTACAGCATTGGGTAAATACACCCATTCCAAATTGGAGAAATTGGCCAAAATGAAGGGACTACAGGCCCCATGCAAGTCCAAAATCCAGTGGGGCAGTCAAATCTTAATGCTCCAAAATGATCTCCTTTGACTCTATGTCTCACATCCAGGTCACGCTGATACAACAGGTGGGTTCCCATGGTTTTGGGCAGCTCCACCCCTGTGGCTTTGCAGTGTACAGCCCCTCTTCTGGCTGCTTTCATGGGCTGGCATTGAGTGTCTGCAGCTTTTCCAGGTGCACAGTGCAAGCTCTCAGTGGATCTACCATTCCAAGGTCTGGAGGATGGTGGCCCTCTTCTCACAGCTCCACTAGGCAGTGCCCCAGTGAGGACTCTGTGTGTGGGCTCCCACCCCACACTTCCCTTTCACACTGCCCTAGCAGAGGTTCTCCAAGAGGGCCCCACCCCTGCAGCAAACTTCTGCCTGGACACGCAGGGATTTCCAAACATCGTTTGAAATCTAGGTAAAGGTCTCCAAACCTCAATTTTTGATTTCTGTGCTCCCACAGGCTCAACACCACATGAAAGCCACCAAGGTTTGTGGCCTGCACCTGCACCCTCTGAAACAACAGCCTGGGCTGTACATTGGCACCTTTTAGCCACAGCTGGGATGTAGGGCACCAAGTTCTCAGAGTGAACAAAGCAGCAAGGCCCAAAAAGCATTTTTTCTTCTAGGCCTCTGGGCCTGTCATGGGAGGGGCTGCCATGAAGATCTCTGACATGCCCTGGAGACATTTTCCTCATTGTCTTAATGATTAACATTTGGCTCCTTGTTACTTATGCAAATTTCTGCAGCTGGCTTGAATTTCTCCTTAGAAAATGGACTTTTCTATTGCATTGTCAGGCTGCAAATTTTATGAACTTTTATCCTCTGCTTCCCTTTTTTTTCCAATTCTAAGCCATATATTTGTGAATGAATAAAACAATCCTTTTAAGAGCATCCAACTGACATCTTCAACACTTTGCTGCTTAAATTTTTTTTCCTCCAAATACCCTAAATCATCTCTCTCAAGTTCAAAGTTCCACAGATCTGTAGGGCAGAGGCAAAATGCTGCCAGTCTCTTTGCTAAAGCATAGCAAGAATCACCTTTGCTTCCATTCCTGATAACTTCCTCATCTCCATCTGAGACTACCTCAGTCTGAACTTTATTGTCCATATCACTATCAGCATTTTGGTCAAAAACCATTCAATAGGTCTCTAGGAAGCTCCAAACTTTTCTACATCTTCCTGACTTCTTCTGAGCCCTCTACACTGCTCCAGCCTCTTCCTGTCACCCAGTTCCAAAGAAAGTTCCACATTTTTGGGTATCTTAATAGCAGAACCTCACTTCTGGTACCAATTTACTGTATTAGTTTGTTCTCACGCTGCTAAAAAAGACACACCCAAGACTGGGTAATTTATAAAGTAAAGAGGTTTAATTGACTCACAGTTCAGCGTGCCTGGGGAGGCCTCAGGTAACTTACAATCATGGCGGAAGGCAAAGCAAACATGTCCTTCTTCACATGGTGGCAGCAGGAAGAAGTGCCAAGCAAGAAGGGGGAAAAGAACCTTATAAAACCATCAGATCTTGTGAGAACTCACTCAGTATCATGAGAATAGCATGAGGGTAACCCCCACCCCATGATTAAATTACCTCTCACTGGGTCCCTCCCACAACATGTGGGGATTATGGGAGCTACAATTCAAGATTAGATTTGGGTGGGGACACAGCCAAACCATCTCAGCTACTATAACAAAAATACCATACACCTGATGGATTAAACAATATAAATTTGTTCTTCATAGTTCTGGAGACTGAGATGTCTGAGATCAAGTCCCAGCATGGTCTGGTTCTGGTAAGAACCCTCTTCCTAGTTTGCAGATGGTTGCCTTGTTACTGTGTCCTCACATGGTAGAGAGAGAAAGCAAGTTCTCTCTTTACAAACGCACTCACCCCATCATGGGAGCTCCATCCTTATGACCTCATTTAACTCTAATTACCTCCTAAAAGCACACCTCCAAATACAATTACTGGATAGAGTTGTCCAGGTTCTTGGCCTGTTGAACAAAGAATTGAACAAAACACACAAAGTAAAAAAAAAGAACAAAGCAACAAAAAACAAAGCAACAAAAGACAAAGCAACTGAAGAACTGGGTACCGAAAGCACGGATTTATTGAAGACAATTCACAGAGTGGGAATGGGTGGCTCCAGAGCAAGCAAGAGGCTCAAAAGCCTCTTCAATTAGAGTTGTTATTAAGCTAAAAAGAACCCAGCAACACCCTTTGGTGCCTCCCAGAAGCCTACAATTGGCTACACCCCATGGTGGACTGGCCTGAGACCAATCAGTAGAGACCTGGCACAGTCAATCAGAGGCTGAAGTGCCTTGCTATCATGGGAGCAAGGATGTGGTCTATATGTTGCACCTGAGGCTCTCCTGCCTATACAAAATGGCTGCACCTGCTGTTCTCCTATCCATGCCTCAACCCTTGGTCACCCCAATTCCCTATATTCTCCTACCTCAATAACATCCCATTGAAGATTTAGGCTTCAACACATGAATTTCAGGGGGATGGAAACATTCAGTCCATAGCATGATCTGAATCAGTTAGGAATCAATACTGCCTTTCATCCCTGGCAAGAGTAACTGCTATTACTCAAATCTAATAAAGATGTATGGAATTCATAATATATCTCTTAACATTCACTCCTAAAGTATATCAAGTATGTCCCATTTTTAAAACCACACTGATTGGCTGATTAGTTCATCCATTCATTCATTTATTCACTGAACAACTATTTATTGAGTGGTGAAAACCAAAATGGTGGAGTCAAGACCTCGCTTTAAATCAAGGTTCTGCCATACACCAGTTATGTGATCTGCGGCAAGACTCTCTAGCTAAAGGAACAGGGTCTTTGGAATCAGGCAGACTTCAGTTTCTAATTAATTGCATGGCCTTGAATAAATTACTTAACTTATCTGAGCTCCAGTTTCTCAATCTGGAGAAAACACAGGATTATTATGAGGAGATTCACTATAAGCAGAGTACCTAGCACTTGGTTGAACAGAGCGCACACATTAAATTGCACCTATTGTTAATATATAACTTCTCAGGGAGAAAAGATCTCTTTGTCAAGGTAGATGTGAGGAGATTTTCTGGGAAAGGCAGAAACAAGGTGACCAGAATTCCACGATCCACCCCACACCCTGGTTCACAGCGTACTTCTGCTGCAGGGAGCCATTCCATCTTCAAGGCCCAGAGAGGCATTCCTACAACACCCCATGGTTCAGGCTGGAGTGAACAAACACTGGGAAGCTGAATTATAAGGAAATCACCCAAAACTTCTCCTGGCCCGCCGGGCTTTCCATCTCTTTTCAACTTTAAAGAAAATATCACATATTTATTCCCTCTAAGCAGGTTCATAGGGTGTTTATAGATCATGCAATCCCACACAAGGTGTAAAGTAGACCCTGCAATCCTCAGAGAACATTCACATGGATTCAACTGATTATGATGATGATCACTCATATCACAGATGTCAGAATGATTGGTGCTTCTTACTTGAAGAGAGCCAGGTGTCTGAAAAGCCAGCCACAAATAATTACATATAGAAAGACAGAATTGGAAGTTTTAAGACTTTTTTTCCTGTTACTAGTCTCTGCTTTAGAAAGCATTTAATTGATTAAAAAGAAGGCTTAATTTCTCTCTCACTTTGGAAATATGTACTGTATTGTTGTGTGTATGTATATTAGACATCAATATCTTCTTCTTAGTATTCAATATTTTCTGGGTGCTCTATAATGGATGCTTTTCATTCCATTGTTTTTTTCTGGACCTCAAGTATAGAGGGTTTATGACTTTCTTCTCTAATTAATTGTCCATTGTCTCCTTTTCCAACACCCATTTGCTGTCCTCCACCCACAGGCTCCCATTCTAATACGATGAATATAAATTATTTTATTTAGATGTAGTCTTATAAAACATAGCCATGTATTTTTAATGTAAGTTAATGGAACTTCCTTCACTTATTTATATTATCTTCTATGATGCATGATAGAGTTAGTTTTACATGATATAAATTACATGATAGAGCTTTCTGTAGTCCTTATTAGGTTACTTTTAGATAGTTTGTATTCTTACATTTTATATCTAGGAACATAGTTTTTGGTTGCTATTGTGGTGAGAATCCCATTTTTAATTATATTTTCAATTTGTTATTACTGGCCATCTTAATTAGCTACTACCACAATAATACTAAGCAGTAAAAAAATCTCAAGCTCAGAGTCTCAATATAATAAACATTTTGGTTTTATTTTTGGTTATGCTTCAACTTATATATCACTCATTTTATTACTTAGCTATTGCCACAGTAATGCAGTATAACAAACCAGTCTAAAACTGAGTGTCTTACAAAACTAAGCATGTCTATTTTTTCTCAAGGGTCTACAGGAGGGTTAGGGCTCTGCAGTACATGGCTAAAATCACCTGGGCTTAACTCTAAGCTACAATTATATGCAGGTTTGCTCTATACATCTCTTCATTCTCCTTGGAACACTGGCTACCCAAGGAATATTCTTTTGATAACTAGCAGGAATGCAAGAGGACAAAACCAAACCATTCAAGTAGGTTTAAAGCTTCTGTTCTCATTCAGTCCACTAACAGGCCATTGGTCAAAGCAAGTCAGATGGCCAAGGTCAGTATCACTTTGGAAGGAAGTATACTCTGCCTAAAGTAGACCCTGGAGGATAGCACTGCCAAGCTTTATAATAGAGGGTGTGCATGTATAATCCTGTTTTATAATCTCTACTGAGATAGATAAATTCTATTGATTTGTATAAGTTCAGTTGTGTTTTGTTTTTAATTGTTGCTGAACTCTCTTACCACTTCAATAATTGTTGAAACTTTTGGAGTTTTAAGGCAGATAATTATGTATTTTGTATATAATGAAAGTTTAATGTCCCCCTTTTTGATGCTTATATCTATTATTTCTTACTTATTTTCTTTTTTTATTATTATACTTTAAGTTCTAGGGTACATGTGCACAACGTGCAAGTTTGTTACATATGTATACATGTGCCATGTTGGTGTGTTGCACCCATTAACTCGTCATTTACATTAGGTATATCTCCTAATGCTATCCCTCCCCCCTCCCCCTACCTCATGACAGGCCCCAGTGTGTGATGTTCCCCTTCCTGTGTCCAAGGGTTCTCATTGTTCAATTCCCACCTATGAGTGAGAACATGCGGTGTTTAGTTTTTTGTCCTTGTGATAGTTTGCTCAAAATGATGGTTTCCAGCTTCATCCATGTCCCTCCAAAGACATGAACTCATCCTTTTTTATGGCTGCATAGTATTCCATGGTGTATATGTGCCACATTTTCTTAATCCAGTCTATCATTGATGGACATTTGGGTTGGTTCCAAGTCTTTGCTATTGTGAATAGTGCCACAATAAACATGTGTCTTTATAGCAGCATGATTTATAATCCGTTGGGTATATACCCAGTAATGGGATGGCTGGGTCAAATGGTATTTCTAGTTCTAGATCCTTGAGGAATCGCCACACTGTCTTCCACAATGGTTGAACTATTTCTTACTTATTTTCTTAACAGCATTGCCCAAGACCTACTTTGCTGAAGAATAGTGGTGATAGTGGGAAACTTTGTCTTGTTTCACATCTTGAAGGGAATAAGTATGATGCTTCATCATTAAGTACAATGTCTACTGTAGGTTCTTTGTATCTTATCAAATTAAGGAAGTCCTTTTTTATTCTTGGTGTTTGAAAAGTTGTAATGATAACTAAATCTTATCAATATTTTCAATGCATTAATTGAGATATGCAATTTTTTCTTAGTTGATAATGTGTTGAGTAAGGTTAATAGAATTTATGTTGCTATTTAATTCATACTTGCTTTATTAATTTTTAAATACTGAAAGATTCAGTCAGTATAATTTAAAGGATTTTTTCATCTGTGTTCATTAGTAAAATTAACCTGTATTTTTTGTTATTTTTATTGTTTTATCTCATTGTGTAAGTTTATAATCGTTTGATAAAATGAGCTAGATAGCTTTTACTCTTGCTTTTTTTCTGAAAAAACTTTTACAAAATAGAACTACATCTTCCTTACAAGTTTGAACAAAATTACCTGCAAAATCATCTGGGACAGAATCTTTTTTGGGAGTTGAGATTTTTTATTGCTGTTTCAATGTCTTTACTGTCTTTGCTCTTTTCACATTTGCTCTTTGCTTTTTCCTCCTCCCCCTTCTTGCCTTTCTGTTTCTCCTTCATTTGCTATAAACTCACATCAGCTTTACTTAGATTGTAAAGACCAATTATTCTTTTATTCTAAATGGCTAATAAAACTTCCTAGAAAAATATTATGGCTAAGGCATGACTTTGCTGATTTTAATGAGCATATAGTTCTTCATAATACTCTTACCATTTTTAATTTCTATCATGGCTAGTTGTTTCTCCATTTTCACTCTGTATTTTGTTAATTTATCTTTTTTAAAATCGGTTTTACCAGAGGTCTACCTTATTAAACTTTGCATTCAGTTCAATTAAGCTTCTCTATTTTTATTTTTCTCCTCATTTTATTTATTTTGGCCCATATTTTTATTATTTCTTTATGTTTGTACTGCTACTTTATAACTTCTTGTGCTGAATGATTTGCTTATTTATTTTCAACTTTTATTTCCTAATAAATATGCTTAAATGAAATAATATATTTAAATGTAGACGAAGCTTTAATTTGAAGCCAGCAAACTTAGAAATGATTATGGGTATTTTCATTTAATTTTACACATTTTGTCCTTTTCCTTATATTTTCCTTTCTAAATTCAGGAGTTATTAGTATTGTTAAATAATTTTATATATTATGTGGTTTTATCTATTCTTCATTCATTTCTTTGAGATGTAAGCTTGTTAAGTAGGGAAATGAGGGCATAAGAGCATACAGGGCAGTTAAAGGTGGTAGAAAAATGGATTGCAGTTCCCTGTAAGGTGATGAATTATTGGAATTTGGAAATTAGATTGAGCTAGAAAGAGTGAAGCCAGTGGTCTGGAAATAGGATACTTGTAATCAAGATTATGGAGTGGTTGCAGTTATCAGTAATAAAAAGATTTATGGAATTCTCAGCAGTCCCTTCTCATTTGAGGAGAAGAGATCATGGTTCTGGAAGGCCAGTTATCATAAACATCATCCACGTGCATATTGAAATCACCTAAGACTTATGACAGGTATTGATATGGTTTGGCTGTGTCCCCACCCAAATCTCATCTTGAATTCCCACATGTTATGGGAGGGACCCAGTGGAAGGTAATTGAATTATGGGGGCAGGTCTTTCCTGTGCTGTTCTCCTGATAGTGAATAAGTTTCATTAAATCTGATGGTTTCATAAGGGGGAGTTGCCCTGCACAAGCTCTCTCTTCTCTTGTCTGCCACCATGTGAGACGTGCCTTTCATCTTCCACCACGATTGTGAGGCCTCCAGAGCCATGTGGAACTGTAAGTCCATTAAATCTCTTTCTTTTGTAAATTGCCCAGTCTCAGGTTTGTCTTTATCAGCAGCATGAAAATAGATAATACAAGCATGGTGCTGAAGAGAATGACAGGAGCCAGGAGCTAGATGTTCAGGGAATGACAGGGTTAGTAGACAACTGCAGTAAGAAGAAATAAAGGTTTGGCCTGAGAATCAAAACTGGAAATATCTGGGGAAGAGGACAGAGACTGAACAAGAAGCAACAAAGAAATGCTAGGAAGGCATCTGCCATATCTCCGAATTCAGGAATAAGAGGGGCATGAGAGAGAAAAGAATCACCACTGAAAGAGACTATGGGAAAGTCGTGTCCTCCAGGGAAATCCAGGTTTTATTTAGAGCCTGAAGGTAAGGGAAAAGTAGAGCAAAAAGGTCAATGATCAGAGGGATTTGCTGATGACTGATAGGGACATCTGGAGGGCCCAGTGGAAGGGTTCAGGACTTAGGAAAGGGTGGAGATTGGTCAAAGAAGGGGGTATAAGAAATGTAAGGTATGGGAAATCAGAAAGGACCTAAGAGTCCTAGACTTCTTCTTTTTTTGAGATGCTCTTTTGCCCAGGCTGGAGTGAAGTGGCATGATCTTGGTTCACTGCAACCTCCAACCCCCAGGTTCAAGCTATTCTCCTGCCTCAGCCTCCCAAGTAGCTGGGATTACAGGCACCCACCACCACACAGGCTAATTTTTGTACTTTTAGTAGTGAGACGGGGTTTCACTATGTTGGCCAGGCTGATCTCGAACTCCTGACCTCAGGTGATCTACCCACCTTTGCCTCCTCCCAAAGTGCTAGGATTACAGGAGTGAGCCACCAAGCCCGACCTAGACTTCTTTTAGTGACCAATGTAAGCAAGATAAAGAACAGATGAGATAAGTCCCCATGTTCTTAAGGTAGACAGAGGTGATAGGAATAGTACGGGAAGCCTTGGAAAAGGGAAGGGGGCCTTACAAAGGCAGGAAAGTCCATAAAAAGATTCCATTTTTGTTCCATTTGCTTCAATAGTTCTGTTTCAGGGGTCATGTGCTGTTTAGCTGTTGTTGTCTAAATAACAGTTGTTCCCATCAGAGAAGGGCTAAAGCTCATGTCTTTCCTGGTGAATTTAGGAAAGATGCCCCAGGCAATGAGCTCCCAGGCACATCACAATTCCATTTGTGGTCTCACTCCAAGCAGGAATTTTTAAAATCCTGGATTCAGCTTTATACCATTAAATAGCAGTAGCTGCAGCATTGGGAAGACCCTCTCTTTAGGCTGTAATCCGCCCGCTCTGGGGGACTAGGGAGGAAGAAGTAGAGGAATGGCTTCCGGGCTTCCTCTGGTCAAAGGGCCTTGCTCTCATTATTACCCTTGTCTGGAATGTTCTCTCTTCCTCCATCTTTCTCCTCTTTCTTAACTCCAGCCCAAGGGTCACTTTATGAGGGAAACTCTCCCACATTTCCCAGTCTCGGCCTCCTTGGTTTATGATCTCCAAGAACCTGTTCCTTTCCTTCAGAGCATTTATCTCAATTTGTAATTACATACTCATTATTATGATTATTTTATTTATGACTGCGTTCCCACAAGCCTGTAAACTTCATGAGAGCAGAAATGGTGTCTTTTGATATTTGTCACAGTATCTCCAGTATTCTGTGCAGTGCCTTACTTGTAATACTCATTTAATTAATAAATAAATGAAAGAATTATTTAAAGGAATAGCCGGTGATGCTAAGGACAATTTCCACTAGAGACATTTTTTATAAAAGTAGGAGAGCAGATTCAAGAATAGCTTATTAGAATTACCACTGTCTATGTCAGGTAGCATTCTAGGACAAAGTACCTCATACATTTTTTTTCAATTGCTATTTATAGTTTTTACTTCTCTGAAATTTCTAACCTGATACTTGAGGGGTGGGAAAGGGCAAACCAATAAAAACTTAAAAGCTGTCCTATATATATTTCTTTTTCTTTTTTCAAACTTTCATGTAGAAAAATTACAGGTTTTGACTCACCAAAAATATTTTGGAAACTGCTGAATTAACTTTATTGCTTTGATTGATTGCAGATGGTGACATAGACAAAAGTAAGGCATAGTATTTCAAGGTCAAGTACTACTGCGTTTCAATTAAATGGTGGATGAAGAGAGAGGAACATCCTTTTTGAATTCTCTAAAGTATCAAGTCTCATCTACTTTGAACAGTTTTCTCTATGAGACTGCCTTGCTGAGAAAATGGTTGCAAAAACCAAGGTGAATGGTTGATGATGAGATAGTAATAAAAACATGAAATACATTGACTGGTTTTTAGTGTTTAACGACTGATTTTATTAATCTGATTCCTCAACCGTGTCAGTGGTATCCTTTGCTTTCTTTGATTTTACCTACACATCCCTACCCCCATTTCCTTCTGCTCTTCTAATCTGACATTCTGGAACGTCATCTTTATTAGCTTGTTGATAATGTTGTACTGCTAACTAAATGGCACTTTTACTCATTTCTGTCAGGGTCCAATCAGCATGGTTAGGGTGATATTTAGGGATCATAATGATATGTTAGCAGTGAATAATTTTAACATATTAACTGTTTATTCCTCTGGTTGTCAGGCCCTGAAAAAACAGATGACAGTACCCTTGGTTGATTTTACATTTCTTTTGGCTGAGATCACTAGTATATTGAAGTGTTAAAATGTCACTTCTCACATTTTTCTTTGCAATTAAAGTTGGTTCATCTCACATTTGTAATTTTTTATTTGTAAAGAAAGTAATTGGAAAGTAAGCCCTCTTGTTCATTCAGTTTCCCCATTAGGGAACTTTCATATTAATGTTATAAATATTCTTAATTATTGTAGTAGCACCTTCAGCAAAATCAATTGCCATATCAAGTTGATAATATTATACAATATACATATTTACATAAATCCTCGAAGCTATTATTCTATTTTTTTTCCATAAGTTATTGGGGTACAGGTGGTATTTGGTTACATGAATAAGTTCTTTAGTGGAGATTTGTGAGATCCTGGTGCACCCATCACCCAAGCAGTATACACTGCACCATATTTGTAGTCTTTTAATCCTCACCTCCACTTCCACTCTTCCCCCCAAGTCCCCAAAGTCCATTGTATCATTCTTATGCCTTTGTGTCCTCATAGCTTAGTTCCCACATATCAGTGAGAACATAAGATATTTGGTTTTCCATTCCTGAGTTATTTCACTTAGAATAATAGTCTCCAATCTCATCCAGGTCATTAGAAATGCTGTTAATTCATTCCTTTTCATAGCTGAGTAGTATTCCATCATGTACATATACCACAGTTTTTTTATCTATTCGTTGATTGATGAGCATTTGGGTTGGTTCTATGATTTTGCAATTGTGAATTGTGCTGCTATAAACATGCATGTGCAAGTATCTTTTTCGAATAATGACTTCTTTTCCTACAGATAAATACCCAGGAGTGGGAATGCTGGATCAAATGGTAGTTCTACTTTTAGTTCTTTAAGGAATCTCCACCTGTTTTCCATAGTGGCTGTACTAGTTTACATTCCCACCAGCATTGTAGAAGTGTTCCCTGATCACTGTATCCACACCAACATCTACTGTTTTTTGATTTTTTGATCATGGCCATTCTTGCAGGAGTAAGGTGGTATCGCACTGTGGTTTTGATTGGCATTTCCCTGATCATTTGTGATGTTGAGCATTTTTTCATATGTTTGTTGGCCATTTATATATATTCTTTTGAGAATTGTCTATTCATGTCCTTAGCCCACTTTTTCATGGGATTGTTTTTTTTTTCTTACTGATTTGTTTGAGTCCGTTGTAGATTCTGGATATTAGTCCTTTATCAGATGCATAGTTTGTGAAGATTTTCTCCCACTTTGTGGGCTGTCTGTTTACTCTGCTGACTGCTCCTTTTGCCATGCAAAAGCTCTTTAGTTTAATTAGGTCCCAGCTATTTATCTTTGTTTTTATTGCATTTGCTTTTGTGGTTTTGTCATAAAATCCTTGCCTAAGCCAATGTATAGAAGGGTTTTTCCAACGTTATCTTCTAGAATTTTTATAGTTTCAGGTCTTAGGTTTAAGTCCTTAATCCACCTTGAGTTGATTTTTGTACAAGGTGAGAGATGAGGAGCCAGTTTCATTCTCCTATATGTGGCTAGCCAATTATCCCAGCACCATTTGTTGAAAAGAGTGTCTTTTCCCCACTTTGTGTTTTTGTTTGCTTTGTCAAGGAGCCGTTGGCTGTAAGTATTTGGGTTTATTTCTGGGTTCTCTATTCTGTTCCGTTGGTCTATGTGCCTATTTTTGTTCCAGTACCATGCTGTTTCGGTGACTGTGGCCTTATAGTGAAGTTTGAGATCAGGTAGTGTGATGCCTCCAGATTTGTTCTTTTTGCTTAGTCTTGCTTTGGCTATGTGGGCTTTTTTTTAGTTCCATATGAATTTTAGAATTGCTTTTTCTAACTCTGTGAAAAATGATGGTGGTATTTTGATGGGGATTGCATTGAATTTGTAGATTGCTTTTGGCAGTATGGTCATTTTCACAATATTGATTGTACCCATCCATGAGCATGGGATGTGTTTCCATTTGTTTGTGTCATCTATGATTTCTTTCAGCAATATTTTGTAGTTTTCCTTGTAGATGTCTTCCAACTTGTTTGTTAGGTATATTCCTAAGTATTTTTTTTTTTTTTTGCAGCTATTGTAAAAGGGATTGAGTTCTTGATTTGATTCTCTGCTTGGTCACTGTTGGTGTATAGTAGACCTACTGATTTGCGTATATTAATCTTGTATCTGGAAACTTTGCTGAATTGTTTTATCAATTCTAGGAGCTTTCTGGAGGAGTCCTTAGGGTTTTCAATGGTCATATCATCCATAAACAAGGACAGTTTGACTTCCTCTTTACTGATTTGGATGCCCTTTATTTTCTTTTCTTGTCTGATTTCTCTGGCTAGGACTTCCAGTAGTATGTTGAAGAGGAGTGGTGACAGTGGGCATCCTTGTCTTGTTCCCGTTCTGAGAGAGAAATTTTTCAACTTTTCCCCATTCGGTATTATGTTGGCTCTAGGTTTGTCATAGAAGGCTTTTATTACATTAAGCTATGTCCTTTGTATGCCGATTTTGCTGAGGATTTTAATCATAAAGGGATGCTGGGTTTTATCAAATATTTTTTTCTGCATCTATTGAGATGATCATGTGATTTTTTTTCTGTTTATGTGGTGTATCACATTTATTAACTTGTGTATTTTAAATGAATGTTCTAATAGTTTCAAATCATTTGAAATGAATGTTCTAGATAGTTTCAAATCCTTTCAAATCATCCTATGACCTTTGAAAAGAAGTTAATCCATTTATTGACATTTTTCAAGTCAGCAGTATATATATACATATACATGTTATACATATGTGTATGCGTAAATACACATATATATTAGACCTGCAGTATACATATGATAAAAAAGTTATTAAAGTCTTTGGAGATGGATGATGCAATACAGGCAAAGAATAAAATACAAATTTAAAAGTACAAAGTACAACTGAAAACATATATCAAAAAGCAAATACATGAGGGAAATATTCACTTCAAATATAATAGACAAAGGGTTCATATATAAATATTTCATATTAATTCATGATAAAACTACCAGGAAGCTAATACAAAATATAGTGGGGGAGAGGACAGAGTACTTGAGCAGACAATTCGCAGAAATGAAGTATAAATGATTAATATATACATGAAAGATAATATTTAGCTTCACTAATAAAGAAATGCAAATTATAGTACCAAGTGAACATTTTCCTAGCAAGAATAAAAATGTGTAATCTTTTCAAAATGTAAGTTCAGATCAAAATGGTCTACTAAGTTTAAACTTGAAGGTACCCCCTTTGCTTTGAACACATAGCAATGTCAGATTAAGTCTAAAAAGAGCAAAGCAGAAAGACATATCAGGGTTCAAAAATAAACTCATGAAACTCTAGAAACAATTTAGAATATTTTAAAGGCATAACATATTTCTATAAGCTTTATGCTAATATAACTTCAAAGACATAAACAATTTCTCAATAAAATTAAAAGGTTCAAAATCAATATAAGAAGAAACTTTTAAAAACCTGGAAAGATAATCATTAAACACATTTACTGATCAATCAAAAGTTTCTCTCTAATAAAGACTCACATATATATGAAAACTTACATGAGCGAGTGAGGAAATGGTGAACCATTTAATAAATGGTGCTTGCTATTGGTTATCTATGCGGAAAAATGACATCCTTACCTTACTTCATACATATAAATTAGTTCCAGCTGGAATAAAGGTCTCAATGACTAAAGAAAAACATTTGATATTTTTATTAAAAATATGGAATACATCTTCATAAACTTGTGATAGGAGATGACTTTTAAAAATTATGAAGCAAAAGCACAAATTATTTAAAAATATATATAAATTTGAATATTAAAATTGAAATGTCCTAGGCCCAGTGCCTTGGCTCACACCTGTAATTAATCCCAGCATTTTGAGAGACCGAGCTGGGAGGATCACTTGAACCCAGGAGTTTGAGACCAGCCTGGGCAACAGAGTGAGACCTTGCCTTATAAAACTTTTAAAAAATTAGCCAGGCAGGGTGGCATGCACCTGAGATCCCAGCTATTTGGGAGACGGAGGAGGAAGGATCACTTGAGCCTAGGAGGTTGAGGCTGTAGTGAGCCATTATCATGCTATTGCACTCCAGCTTGGGCAACAGACCAAAATGCTGTCTCAAAAAAAAAATTAAAATGTCCTGTATCAAAAATGTTATAAACAAATCAAAGGACAAATCACAGATGTAAGTTAAACAAAATATTTATAATTGACCAATATATTACATCTGAAATACGGAAAGTATTCTTTTATTACAGACTTCTATTACTAGCAATATGTCCAACTAGAGACTCTGAAAACCTTCTGCCAAAAACATATGAGAGTGTTTGATAAAATACATACTTTCATGTAAAAAATAAACCTGTGAGATAGTAATAAACTGTCCTCCTGCCAGAATCAAAACAATAGCAGAACTTCAGAGAGATAAGTAGGCTCTAAATCTTCTGGATATACTGTTCTCCTAGAGCATAGTATTCTGGGACAAAGCCTTGGATGCAGCAGTGCCAGAAGCCATATTGAAAACTGTCCTGGAGATAGTTGGTACAAGAGATGCTATATCATCAGGGAAGTGGTAAACTAAAACATAAACTAAATGAAAATTTTCCCGCTCATCTTTGGCTCTAGGTACAGATTAAGAAAAGTTTTCATGCAATTACAGGAACGCTGGCTGGTCTCACAAGGGTGTGATGCCTGAACCAATACACTTTGCATAATGTTAAATATACAAATTCTATAAATAGAATTTAAAGCTGATCCAAGTCTGTAGTGAGCTTCAGTATATAGAAAAGCAAATGCATTTTGTCCCTGGAGGAAATGTTATTCAACTTATGCCTCAAAATTTCTATAAACAACCAACTTTCAAAATAGATTGTCTTCCAGTATTAAAATTATCAGTTATAATATACAAAATAAATGTATATTATTTTGTGCTTAATAAATTTAACAAAATACAGGATGGAAATTAAAAAATATGAACAAGGAGAGGTTATAAAAATAAGAACAGTTTGCAAAGAAATCTAGAAAAATCCTAGAAATAAAAAAATCAATTCAAATTAGAAACTTATTTAAAGGGTTAGGCATAACTGAAGAGAAATTTAGTGAACCGTATCATCATATAATTTCATAAAAAATCACTCATAATGTAACACAAAGAAATAAGAGAAGGAAGATATTAAAGAAAAGTAATTATTAATATGGAAGAAGGAGACATAGGAATTCAAAAAGGAAATAAAAGAGATGAGGGAGAGAAAATATTAGAAAGAAAAATGTAGAAATTTTATTCAGAATCAGTGAAAGCTATGAATCCCTAGATTGGGAAGCCCTTTGAATTTCAAACAGGGTTATAAATAAAAAAATCATCAGTAAATATTCTAGTAAAACTACAATACATCAAAAACAAATAATATCACTCAAAAGAAGACAGAGAGAAAAGCAATTTCTTTAAAACAATCACTAATTAGATTGACAGCTGATTTCTCTAGCAAAGATGAAAGCTAGTAGGCATTAAAATCTTGAAATAAAATAGAATTGAAAACCGAGAATTCAATGCTTAGAAACTCTATATTTTAATAATGAATGAAATATAAAGATATTTTCAAATATACAAAGAAAAGAATAGTCCGTGTCTAAACTATAGACCAAAGTGATTTCTTCTGTCTCAGATGAAATTTCTGATAACTAAGGGAATAAAAAAGTTAAACATGTGAGTAAATCTAAACAAACATTTTTGTTATTTTTAACATGTAACAAATAATAATAGTGTTGTTTTTTTTGTTTGTTTGTTTTTTGTTTTGAGATGGAGTCTCGCTCTGTCGCCCAGGCTGGAGTGCAGTGGTGCCATCTCGGCTCACTGCAAGCTCAACCTCCTGGGTTCACACCATTCTCCTGCCTCAGCCTCCCGAGCAGCTGGGACTACAGGTGCCCGCCACCACACCCAGCTAATTTTTTGTATTTTTAATAGAGGCAGTGTTTCACCGTGTTAGCCAGTATGTTCTCTATCTCCTGACCTTGTGATCTGCCCGCCTCGGCCTCCCAAAGTGCTGGGATTACAGGCGTGAGCCACTGTGCCCAGCCAATAGTAGTGTTTTATTATGGCATTATAATTAAGCAAAAATATTATATAATAATTATATGTAAACCAGGAAGAACGGTTATTGCAACTAAAGTATTCTAAAGACCTTATATTGTTTAAAATAAGGATAAATAGATTAACTTTAGTCTTTGTGAAGTATGCATGTCAACAGTTCTGTAAGAATAAAAAGAAGAGAAAAAAGGGCATGCCTTTTAAGTGAGTGGGAGTTGGTGAAACAAGAAAAAAAAACAAAAAGAGAAAAATATCCTCAATCTATTAAAATAAAGAAAATGAGAGAGAAGAAGAAGAGATAGAAGAAGGAAAAAGAGGTGAAGGTGAAAGAAAGGGAAAGGAAAAGGGTAAGGATAAGGACAACTCTAATTAAATATCTTCGTAGTTAAACATTTACTTATTAACACATTTCTCAGTGGTTTACCCATTTGTTTTTACAAGAAATAGGTGTTATTAAGTATCCTAATTTATAGTTTACAATTGAGAATCTAAACTATAATACAAACGTCACATATCAACTTGAAAAATCGTTGCTAAAGTATTTGCAGGAAACAATGGCCTTAAATGCATGATTTTTTTGTGGTAAAAACACATAACACAAAATTTACCATCTCAACCTCTTTTAGGTGTACAATTCAGTAGTGTTAAGCATATTCATATTATTGTGAAAGAGACCGCCAGAACTCTTCATCTTGTAAAACTGAAACTTTCTACCTGTTAAACAACTCCCCTTTCACCTCCTCCTCTCAGTCCTGATTATTCTACTTTCTGTTTCTATGACTTTAATTGCTTTAGATATCACGTATAAGTGAAATCATACAGGGTTTGTCTGTTTGTGACTGATGTATTTCACTAAGCATAATGCCCTCAAGGTTCATCCATCTTGTGGCATGTAACAGGATTTTCTAATCTTTTTAAGGCTGGATAATATTCCATTTTTTGTACAGACCACATTTTGTTGATCCATTCATCTGTGGATGGACATTTGAGTTGCTTCCACTTCTTGACTGTTGTGAACATAAGCGTGCAAATATCTCTTTAAGGTCCTGCTTTCAATTCTTTTGGACAGATACCCAGAAATGGGATTTCTGTATCATATGATAGTTCTAATTTTAATTTTTTGAGAAATAGTCGTAATGATTTACATAGCAATTGCACTATTTTACAATTCCATCAACAGCGTGCAAAGATTTCAATTTCTCCACATTCTTGCCAACACTTGCTATTATCCATATATTTTTTAGTAGCCATCCTAATGGGTATAAGATGATATATCATTGTGGTTTTGATTTGCATTACTCTGATTATTAGTGATGTTGAACATCTTTTAATATGTTAGCATTTGTATAACATTTGTGAAGAAATGCCTATTCAAGTCTTTTGCCTACTTTTTAATCAGGTGGTTTAATTTTTTGTTGTTGAGTTATGAGAGTTCTGTATATATTTTGGATATTAACCTCTTATCAGATATATGACTTGCAAACATTGCCCCCTATTCTGTAGGTTGCTTTTTGACTCTGTTGATTGTGTGCTTTGATACACAAAAGTGTTTAAGATTGATGTGGTCCTATTTGCCAATTTTTATTTTTATTGCTTGTGCTTTTGGTGTCTTATCCAAGAAATAATTGTCGAGTCACATGCTTGTTTTTTTTTCCCAAAAGGCAGAGTGTTAAGTATCTAAGACATTAGAGAAAGAATCAGAGAAAACCCAGACGAAGTAGTACAAAGAAAATTAAAAAGATAACAGAAACAATTAATTAAACAGAAAACAAAATATATTGTGGAAGATTAACAAATACAAAAATGTATTATTTGAAAAGACTAATAAAATTTAGAAGCCTCTTAATTACATTCTAGCAAGTGTGATTAAGGAAAAGAGAAAGAAAAAAGAAATGAACGACACTAATAATTGAAAAGTAACATAACAAATACATTAAAAACCCTAGATCATAATGGTTTAAGGAAAAGAGTGTTTCACATTGTAACTCTATTTGATCTGACTGAGAACCAAATCCCTGAGAAATAGTTAGCTGTTTTAAAGTAGAGTGGCCAATGCTTAAGAGCAAGTATTTTTAACCTTGTTTTGAATCCCAGCCCTGCCACTTAACTATCTTTGTGTAAATTACTTAACCTGTCCCTACCTTGTTTACTTATGTCTAAATGGAGATTATAGTAGTACCTTCCTCATAGGGTTGCTGAGTTATTAAATTAAATTCATGAATATATTTTACCTCTCTTGCACTTAGTATGTGATAAACAAATGTTTGCTGCAACAATGACTAGAGTAGTAACATGGAATAACTCTAGTGGAGCAATATTCTTTCCACTGTTTCTGCTGTTGCACTTTCTGAGCTTTTCAATGCTTATCAACATAGTTCTATCTAGTAAGGCAGAATGAAAGGGAGAGCAGATGAAATAAAAATTAAAAGTTACATTTCAGCAATGCTTATTAGAGTTTGGAGAAGGAAGTGAAACTTGGTAACTTGTATTTTAAAAATTTATACCTCTATTTTGCCTATTCATTGACAGTTGGCTATACTCAGGCCAAATTTATACAGCAACCGTAAGCAGTTCTTCAGTTTAAATCAATTAGTTTAAACGAAGTTCCAGTTTAAAAACTCAGATCAAGTCAATAAATCATATTAAGTTCTTTTTGTGTAATCCAACTTTTATTTTATTTTAATAACCATTTAATTGTGTCATTTGCCAGCAAGTAAGGCCTTTAAAAGTGTTATTGTGTTTTGTCCAATGTTATATTGCTATCTCTAGCGTAAAGCATGGCACACACTAGCCTCTAATCATTATTTGATCGATGAATAAAATAAGTAGCAACTTATTTCCATGTAGCATCTTCATGAATCTCCAGGAACTTACTTGATGTACTTATTTTGATTATGTTTCTGCTTTGTTTCTAATTTTTATCTATATCTCACACTTACCATTTTATCTCTGCCCGTGGAACTTGGACTGGGAGACAAGGTATCATAGAAGTTGCTCACGCCTGTAAGCCCAGCACTTTGGGAGGCTGAGGTGGGCGGATCATGAAGTCAGGAGATCGAGACCATCCTGGCTAACACGGTGAAACCCCGTCTCTACTAAAAATACAAAAATTAGCAGGGCGTGGTGGTGGGCGTGGTGGTGGGCGTGGTGGTGGGCGCGGTGGCGGGCGCCTGTAGTCCCCGCTATTCAGGAGGCTGAGGCAGGAGAATGGTGTGAACCTGGGAGGCGGAGCTTGCAGTGAGCCGAAATCGCGCCACTACACTCCAGCCTGGGCGACAGAGCGAGACTTTGTCTCAAAAAAATAAAAAATAAAAAAAAATAAAAAAGCACTGGCTTTGAATTCTGACTTTGGCACTTATCTCCTGCATCATTATTTTGGGTAAATTAGTTACCCCTTTGAAGTTCCTTTTCATAATCTGTAAAATTCGTATGGAATTTTAGAAATAAAGGTAAGACTGAGCTGGATTTCAATCCCAGTTCCAATACTTCCTAGCTTGGGGAAAGTCAATTATGTAATCTTGAATTAATATCAATTTCAAGTATATACTAGAGCTGTCTTTATGTAAAACTTATACAGTCCTATGAGACAGCTATTATTATTATTTCCGTTTTACAGATGAAGAAGCTAAAGCCAAGAGATCTTCAGGCTCCTACCCAAAGATCTATTCTGTCCTGTCAGACCTTCTTAAAGGTTATAATCTGAACTTTGCCCCATAAACCATTGGCTTGATTTCAGGGATACATCTTGCTATAGCAGAGTGGACAAGAAGACAATGATATTCTAGTTCTTGTACCTAGAAAATAGATGGTGGAGCGAGGAGAATTCTGATCCTTGTGAGTTGACCCATCTTCATGGACATGATATTTGCCTTGTCTTTGGGGCTAAGTTCTTTGTGAAGTCCTTACATTAACTTCTGAAATTTCCCAATTTTCCAATGTGGTTATGAGCATTCATAAAATACATATGATATCATTATGTGGGATAATTTGAAATGGTGGAATATTGAGGGATAGTTTACCTATCATAGTAGCTAAAACCATATACAGTCCCACATAAACAACTTGGAAATATCTCCAGGCAGTGGCTTCAGGACTCCAACTGTACTTCAAGCCATACCTCATAGACCAGCTTAAACTCAGGCTGCTAACTTTCAATTTCAACTGAGATGTAGAAAGTCACAAAAGACTGTTATTCCTACCTTAACAAAAACAAGTCAGATAAGTAATATTACCATAATTTTGTGAAACTTATCAGAGAGCTGAGAAAGGAATGAGTTCATTGTAGGAGAGAAGAGACATCTCAATGGTATGGTAGTGGAAGGAGCAAACCTGGCACAAATTGAGAGAAAAAGAAATCAGGAAAATTTTAAACAAAGTTTTCATGGTCATATATGTATTGACATGATGGATTGGAATCCCAAGGTGCAAGAATCTCAGAGTGAATCCACACTCATCTTTCAATCTTTTCCTGTGGTGCCTTCACATAGTGCATGACGGCAGCATATCAAAGGCTGGGGGCAGGGGAAAAGGGCTGAGAAAATACCTCCACGGTGCATGAACCCTTCATCAGGTGACAGACAGTAGTCTGAAAAGGGCTGGGATTAGGGCAGCAGAGCTTACATGACTACTCTCCCAAAACACTCAGAGCTTTTACAGATTGTTTGCCAGCAGCCCATCAAAGGATGAGGGTAGGGCAGGAAAGCCAAGACAGATCTCTCAGGAGTGCAAAAGGCCACTACATGGTAGTGGCCCAATGAAGACAAGGTCAGGGCAGGAAAACTGAGACAGATCCCATCTTCATGCCCAAAGTGCACCAGGCCTTCACCAGATGGAACACAGCAAAGGGCAGCTAGATGCAGGGAGAGCTCTTGAAGTGCAGAAAGTAAGTGGAGGAGGGGAGGGCAGAGGTGCAAAGAAAGCTTCCTAGAAACTGCAAAGCTATCTGCTGGATTATAAAGCAGAAAGAGATATCTTACAGGTAAGAATGATGATAACTAGGGCTGGGCACAGTGGCTCACACCTGCAATCCCAGCACTTTGGGAGGCTGAGGCAGGTGGATTGCTTGAGCTCGGAAATTTGAGACTAGCCTGGGCAACATGGTGAAACCCTGTCTCTACCCCAAAAGACACAAAAACTAGCCAGGCATGGTGGCACATGCCTGTAGTCCCAGCTACCTGGGAGGCTGAAGTGGGAGAATCACTTGAGCCTGGGAGGTGGAAGTTGCAGTGAGCCAACATGGAGCCACTGCACTCCAGCCTGGGCAACAGAGTGAGACCCCATCTCAAAAAAAAAAAAAACAAATAAATTAAAAAATAAAAAGAATGATGATAGCTAGGCTGTAAAGTATAGCCAGGTCTTTAGAGTCTTGCTGATGCATAGATCTCAAGACCTGCAGATCTCATCTTCAAGACTTTTAAACCCGGAGATAAGCTGAATCTAATTAAAGCCATAACAAAACCCAGACCAACTGAATTAATGATTAAGTTGTCTCAAACTCTCACCATCACAGCCTGATAATGGAAGCAATACTATTTTCTAGCAATAAATATTATGCACTTCAGTGTCCAGAGTACGTTTTCACACGAAGTCTGGGATAAAATGAAAAATTATGAGACATAAAGCAGGACAATGTTACCTAATGGAAAAAACCTTCAACAGACACAAACCACAGTTGACCCAGATGTTGCCATGAACAGATAGGAGCTTTAACATAACTACAATGAATATGTGAAAAGTTCTACTAGAAAAGATAGGCAACATGTGGAAATACACTGAGAATTTCACCAGAAAAATGGAATCTATAAAAAGATAGCCAAATGGAAATTCTAGCACTGAAAAAGTACAATTCTAGAATTGAAGAATTCACTGAATGTGCTTAGCAGAGACTGGATACAGCAAAAAAAAAATAGATTAGTAAACTTAAAATGGGTCAATGGAAATATTTTAAATTAAAACGAGAGGAGAAAAAAATAGGGAAAACAACTTGAAAATTTCATCCAAGTTTTCTGGGGCCATACCAAGCTGTCTAACCTTGTATAATTGGAGACCAAGAAGGAAAGAAGAGAATGGATGGTTTAGAATATTTGAAGAAAAAAGGCTTAAGAGTTTCCAAAATTGAAACAAATCAACCTGGAGATTCATAAAACTTGGCCAAATTCAAAACAGTAAAAATAAAAGCAATATCACATTTAGACACTCCTCATACTTCTGATAATGATAGATAAGGAGAAAAATCTTAAAAGCATCCAGAGAAGAAAAATACATTACATTTAGGGGAATAAGAATAAGAATTGTGGCCAGTTTTTTATTAAATATAATGAAGGTCAGACAACAATGGAATAAAATTTTTAAATTGCTTAACAAAAATCTGTTAACTCAGAATTCTATACCCAGTGAAAAGTAAGCTGAGTCTGTCTCTAGCAGTCCTACACTAAAATAAAGGCTTTAGGCTGTAGGTGAATGATAGCAGATGGACAAGTGGATCTGCAGGAAGGAATGAAGAGCATTGTAAAGTGTAAATATGTGGCTAAATATAAAAGAACATTTTTATTATCTACATTGTGTGTGTGTGTGTGTGTGTGTGCAGTTAATTGCTTTAAAAAACTATTAACTCTTTTAAGAAAAAATAATATATTTTTAGGTTGATAACATATATAGATGTAGAATAAATAACCAAATAGAACAAAGGCCCAGAGGTGGAGGTAAATGAAATTATACCATTATAAATTTCTTACATTGTTCAAAAAAAAGGACATTCTTAGAAGGTAAACTGTGACATACGTGTATGTTAATATCTAAAATACTGGTAAAAAATACAAAGAGGTGTAGCTAGAAAGTCAATAGAGAAGATAAAATGGAATAAAACATATTTAATTGATCAAAAATAAAGCAGAAAAATAAAGAAGAGACAAATAGAAAACAAATAGCAAATTGGTAGACTTAAACTCAATCATAGCAATAATTACATTACATAAAACAACCCCAACCATCCATTTAAAAGACAGAAATTATTAGACTGCATATGAAAAGCCCAACTCAACCATATAATGTCTAAAAGTATACTTTAATTATAATAAAATGCACTTTAATTATATAGACTTAGACATGATGAAAATAAAATAATGGGAAGTAACATATTATGCAAACAAAAACATAAGATATATATAGCTATATCATATATATACATATTATGTATATGTATAGCTATATTAATATCTGACAAAATGAAATTCAAATAAAGATGTATTATCAGATATTATCTTTTATTACTTCTTAAATGGAAACACTTCATGATTATAGAAAGTTAATTCCTTTAAGAATGTTTTCTAGAATTGTTTTCTAACAATTTTAAATATGTGTGCACCTAAGAAGAAATCAAATATTTGATTTAAAAATGACAAAAATAAAGGAAGATACATGCAAATCTATAATCATGGTAGAGGGTTTTGACACTCAGTTTCAATAATTGATAGAACAGGTAGACAATAAATATGGTTATAGCATATTGGAACAACACTATTAACTAACATGACTAACTGACTTTTATAGGGTACTACATGCAGTAACCACAGAATACACTTCTTTTCAAGAGCACACAGAACATTCATCAAGATAGACCACATGCTAGGCCATTCAACAAGTCACAGTACATACCAAAATGTATTATGAAAGAAGGAAAAGAGAAAACTACAATTCCATCCAGCAATCCCACTACTGGGTATATACCCAAAGAAAAATAAATCATTATATCGAAAAGATACCTGCACTAGTATGTTTATAGCAGCACTATTCACAATAGCAAAGATATGAAATCAACCTAACTGCCCATCAATAGATGAGTGGATAAAGAATTGTGGTGTTTATAATAGTATTCCATAGTGTGTGTGTGTATGTGTGTGTATAACCCCTTTATATATACATACACCATGAAATACTATTTAGCCATAAGAAAGAATGAAATCATGTCTTTTGCAACAACATGGATGGAACTGGAGGCCATTATCTTAAGTGAAACAAGTCAGACACAGAAAGGCAAATACCACATATTCTCACTTATAAGTGAGAGCTAAGTAGAGTGTAAACATGGAAAATGATTTTTAAAAACAAATAACTAGAAAATTTTAGAAATAAAATAAAAATGCTACTTGTCACAACATGGATTAATCTCAAAATCATTAAGATACTAGACAAAAAACAATACAAACTATGATTTCATTTACATTATGCCCAAGAACAGGCAAAATTAATCTTTGCTGATAAAATCAGAAAGTGGTAGTGGCAGTTGTGGGATGAAGTGACTGCAAAGGAACGTGCTGGAATTTTCTTGGGTGATATAAAATAGCCTGTATTTTTATTTACTGGTAGTTTTGTGGGGCTATATAGTTACCAAAACTGATTAACCTATAAATTTAAGGTTTGTGCATTTTATATACACTTATGCTTCAACAGAAATGAATAAACAGATAACAAAAAATTCCAGCTATTGACTCATCTTGGAACAAGTTCACCTTTAGGGTGTAATTCCTAAGCAGTATTTCTCCCAGTGAGTAATACAGACCACCTACACAGAAATAACCCAAGGGCTGTGTTACATATCAGATTCCAGTGCTTTACTCACATCATATCAACCAAAATAAAATGCAATCATGTTAAATATATAAAAATGTGTAAACATATACAGATATATTTATGTATATCTATATGTA
The DNA here is from genome assembly GCF_000001405.40 of Homo sapiens. Taxonomy (NCBI): domain Eukaryota; kingdom Metazoa; phylum Chordata; class Mammalia; order Primates; family Hominidae; genus Homo; species Homo sapiens. The sequence continues at coordinate 43,206,776 of NC_000012.12, forward strand.
GAGAGATGTAAATATTGGAGGAATTTAAAACATTTTCATGGTTAAATTATAATGTAAATTCTATTCAATTTATATTAAATATTAATCATTAAATTTTAGTAATTAAAATGGAAGAGAAACGAGCTTATCTGGCTTGTATATCCAACCTATCATTTACTAACCAAGCTTTTGAAAGAAATTCTACTGGGTGCAGAAAGGTAAGAAATAGGGGAAGAAAGAATATAATGTACCTGGCCATATTCTTATATGCATGTTTGTAACTTAGCTTTCATTTAAATATCATGGATATAATTTAAATAGCAAATGGTTCTTGAAGGCACTACTGTTTCTCTCTCCCTGGTTTATCACTTGATTATTATTTAACAGGGTTTCCCCAGGGACTAAAACAACTAGATTCAATCTGCCATGCTAAACTAGAAATCATGTCATATTTTCTAGCTCAGATAAAACGGTCACCATTCTTAGGCTGTGTTATGTTACCTGAGCCTGGTTTCTTTCTTCCATTATACCGTGTAGTTCCAGCATTCGCTTCCTCTCCGAATGCTGTATGATTGTTGTTTTGTGTGTGTCTCTTGTAAGAATAGAGGCGTTCTCTAGGCCCTAATATTTTGGTGGAAAGAGCACCTTCCATGCTGAAATCAGTACTCCATTGGTTGGAAATGGCCAATACATGCTATTATTAAGTACCTGGTTGGAGTCACCCTTTCAGTGCAAGCCATCAGGGCATTGGGGGAATGCTGGTTCTGCTCTGTAATATAAATTACTTCTTCCAGTTTTACTTTATTGCATTCAGTAGATCAATTTAAATTATTGCCAAAACTGTATTGAACAGGCTTCTCATTAGACTGCAAAATCCTTGAGGGCAAGGATTCTTTCTTCAAAACTATTTTAATTGCAGGTCTAGTACGTGTTAGGTGCTTGATTGCTGTAGAATCAACAATCAAATCATTGTTGATTCAATGTACAAATTTATAGAGCTAAAATCTATCCTGTTTCATATTTCATATTTCCCTCTCCATCTTTGGACAGAGGTTTCCTACCAGTTACTAATCCATTCTATTTTCCTCACTTGTCGCCATATGTCTTCCCATTTTGATTTCAGAATATTATGAAAGAAGTAAGCTCTTTCTTGTCCCCTAAACCTGTCATACCCTGTGGGAGCTGTGCAATCCAGGAACACTAAATTGCTTGTAGTTCATATGCATACAACAAAATGTGTCCTGCCTCCTTGCGTTTTGCTCATGCTCTCTCCTCTGGCTGGAATACCCTCTCCCCATCAACATTCATCCTGTGACAAACTTATACTCTCTTTAGGCATCCTCTCTACCAGAAAATCTTCTCTGATCTCTTAGCCTCAGAAGTGTAAACTGTTCGTCTCCTGGGAACCTGCAATATCACCTGCCCAGTCTTAACTGTTCTTATTACATTATATTCATCTGTGCCATATTACACATTATGTAGCTGCCTCTTTCATTAGACTATGAGCCTATTACGCATGAAGAATGTACAGTATTTATATCTCTATATCCCCCTAACACACAGTAGATGTTTAAGTCATGTGGTTTGAGAGAATGAGTCCTGCCAAATGCTGAGTTCACACATGGTACTCACAGCATTTCACGCACTGCCAGCCCCGTAATGTTAGGAAGTAAATGAGATCATATCTCCTTTTAGGTGGTGACTGACTAATTTTTTAATAATAAATGCTAAAACTGTGGGGCGGAGTTGCAAATAAAGTCATCAAACTATCGTTTCTGAACCTTTCTACTTATCTGGAGGACACTTGCCTATCTCTGGTCCTCTGGAGTCTCTCCCATTCTCTATACAAAGGAGCAAGAGCTAGGACTAAGATGGCGATTATGAGAACAGAAAGGAAGGAATAGCTTCCAACAATTCTCAAATGAGCAATGAGCAACAGCACTGCTTATGCATGAGGATGGAGAAGAGTCAAGAAGGAGTCATGCATGGTTGCAAAGCATTGAGCCTGAAAACTTCCTGGGGAGAAAATTTTCGAGGAGACTGACCGACAGTAACCTGCCAATGGCATTGGCCCATGGAGACAAAGAGATGTTATTTCAAGCAGAGGCCAGAGGAGCAGCATGAACATCAGAGAATGACTTAGCTCTGAAAGAATTGCCCAGAAAACACTAAGGACTGTGAGCTGAAGTTGGTCCCCTTCCCTCTCTTTCATGTGCTGTCTGGCTTTCTCTCTTCTCCATCTCCAAAGCTTTCATCCAGCTGACCAGTACTCACCCTCTGAGGGTCAACCAAATATTTGTATAGAACTTTAAAGTTCACAAAGCCATTTCACACACATCGTCTCATCAACCCTGTGAGATAGATATGCATGCTTATTTTAAAGGAATAGTCAAAGAACCTGAATAGTAGCAAGGGGCAGAATCAGGGGTTGAGCATGAGGTATTCTGATTTTGTATTTATTCAATTTCTACTATTCAACATTATATCACATTCTCTAAGAGAAAGAAGTATAAGCAATGGCCTTTTGACCTCAGGGATCTATCATCTTATTGGGGAAACAAACATAAAATATATCAATTGATGAGAGAAAAAATGTGTGCATTCAAAGATTATATATTAATAAACATATAGCAATATGTTAATATATAAAATTATGTAACAACTGCCACATTAAATCCAATAGTCCATCTGGGAGAAGAATCCTTTAAATATTTATTCAGGCTCAGTGGCCAACGGCACAGAACACTGTAGAATTGGAGCATTTGCAGAGATTTTATAGGACCACTAGACTTTGTTTATTTGACTACATAGAAACTGTGTCTTGAGAAACTGAATTTCTTTACTTATAAAAATGTAAGTAATATTTTCTCATCTGATGCCAAATAGAATAAAGCATACACATAAAAAAAGAAAAGCTCCATAAAGTCAGCATGATTGTTAAAAAAAAAAAGGAAAACTATGTACATTTTTTAAAATTATATATATGTTTTATGCATTTTAAACTGAAATGGGAAGATGGAGCTCCTGGTGCACATAGTAGAAATATAACTTTCATATATAAGCTTTACATTTATTGACTTTTTTATATTAAAAATTCACTCTTTAATAATGGCAGAAGAAAATAAAAATTGATTTCAAAAAGGAGTAATTTAGTTCTCCAGGAGGAAATCACTTTGACCCTAATTTAAAATAATTTACAGGAGATAAGTCCTCTCTAAGGATCATGTTATACTTTTGAAGTTTAGTCTTTTTCAAGCGGGAGGCAATTAGAATTTTTAGAGGCTAGTGTTTGTGGCAACATTTTAAAAAGGCAGTTTTGGGATTCCTTTCAAATCAGCACTCCATCCCCACCCCAGTACCTCAGTTCTCAGTGAAGCTGCATAAAAATAGATTTCAGTCTTCATGTTAAAGACATTTTACCAAATTCCATGGTTTTCACAAACAAAATCATTTTTTTTCTTATTCTGCCCTCAATAAAAATGAAAAACAGCTTCGAATTACTCCTCCTAGGTTATTCATGCAAAATCTTCCTTCAGCTTTTTGCCACCCAGGAGATGAGTTCTTTATTTCATTTAATAGAAGATTTTTAATTAGAAGAGCTCTACTACAAACAAGAACAAAGAAGGTAAGGAAGGTTCTGCTGGAAAAAAAAAAGGCTTGATTTAGAGAGGGAGCAGACAATTCATTTGATTTTATTTGTTAAATTAAGCTATTCTTTTGTTCTTCCAGAGAGGCTGAAACACAGAGACTGGGAAATGCACAAATGTCTGGAGACCTATCTCTAAGAGGAGAAAAGTGAGTCATTAAAGACACCCAGTTATGTGTGGGAGTCATCACTGAGGGTCAAATTATCAGGCCAAAAACAACTGGGCATAACTCAGTTTCTGGAGCTGTTTCATGTCAGGGTTAACTCCCACTTCAAAGAAACCCGACAGACGGGAAATGAAAGTTCAGAACTTCTTCTTTTGAATCTGTTTTCAAAATGGCTCACGCAGTTTGCAGTCTGCTGTCTTTTAAAGTCAAACTTCAAGGCTTATCATTACTATTTGCCTTTTATCGAGAGCCAATAATATGCCCTGAAGATACGCATGTACATATAAATTATTATTCCTCACTTTTGGGGTTGGTGGTGATAACATTGCTCTCCTTTGAGGAGAACATGGCTGGAAAACTTGATGAGGGATTCCCACACATCTGCAATAAGAAAACCATGTCCAAATCAAGTAGTTGCAAAAGTGACTCATAAGATGAGATGGCTTTCCAAGAAGGATACTCCACCAGGATTTGGATGCAAGTTTCATAGAAGGGAGCAAATGAAGAGCTTTTGAAAGAAAAAGAGGAAAACAAGACCCCGTCACATACACACACTCCTTGTTTGGTCAAATAGAAATAAGCAGATTGCCCCAACTGAATCATCTCTGCCTTCCTGGTAAAGAGATCTTCATTGTACAAAGAAAATTAAAATCTCTTTGAGAAGCTTCAGACTTTGCTTCTGAACTTTTTCGGATCCTGAAACCTATTAAGGTCTGCAATTAATTTGTTCTCTCCTCTGTGCTGCCACAGATCATGTTAGTAACTGGTGATCCAGATTTAACTAGGCCTTGAGCACGAAAATAAATACAGGGGTCATCATCATTGTAAATGAATCGGTTTCATCTAGTTCCATCCTAAACTAACTGGTTTAGAAGTTTCTAGGAGGTATCACAGAGCTTAGTAAAACAAAACAAACACATAAAACAGCTCTGCTTTCTGTTTTGTGGAGCAGAGACTCTTACTTTTTTATTAGAAGCCTCGATCCTGGGACACTTCTTTCTCAACCTAGGATGGCCTTGCTTCGTTCACATCCTCCATCTCCATTCTGGGCTCTAACAGCCACTCCACCAAGATGGGGAAAACATGGTCAAGAAGATTCTAGCACTAACAAAGTCCCAGGCAAGCTCCTTTAGGAAACCACTTTGACTCATCCAAGGAGTCTTGCTCTTATTATTATTTACAACTGATTTAAAACTTTCTTTCCTTAACACAGTCTCTCCTTTGCGTTGCATATTGTATAATATCAATGAATTTTTCATCTTTTTTTGAATAGTTAATACATGCACGTGGTTCAATTATAAACACATACTATAAAGTCTATTGTAAAACTTCTCAGTCTGCCCAAGACTCACAATCCTGCCTAGTTCCTATCCCTATATGAAGGGAGGTAGAACAAATATGGCATAATATAAGGATATTTCCCTATAAGGATTTCCTGAGGTTTGTAAAAGTTTGTTTATTGGGCATTTTTGTTTTACTTCTCTTCATTAGAAATACAGATGACTGAAAACTTTGCAAATTTAATTATTGAAAATATTTTTAAAAGACAAAAAAATCATTGAAAATGTAGGGGGGAAAGACAATTAAGGTTTCCAGCTGTTCATAGTCTTATTATTAATGAATATTTATAAACCAAAATTAACTTTAAGTATTTCCTTTTTAAATATGCAATACTGTCTTCAAATATGTCTCATGCTTTTGTGCCTTCAGGCATCTGTTTCCAGCTGTTCATATTTCTATTATTAATTGAATATATTTACAGCAAAGCTAGTGTTGTGCCCTTTTGTAATCACTGCCAGTATTCTGTGTGCTCATGCTAACGGATTCACCTAGAAAAATGCCCTCGTTTCTCACCATCCTCTTAACTTACCATCACCATCACCGTTCCCATGCCCCACTACAACATACATTGTGTGACATATTTTAAAGCGACATCAACATTATAGCTGATGCCTAGGAGGAGGAGAAATGTTTCTTATGTTTACAGTGTATGTGATTGATCTTGGCATTTTTTTTGGAGGAAACTTAAAGTTTCGCATAATGTCAACCTCAGCAGTGAAGAAAAGTAAAAGCCTCCAAAATGACTTAGAAAATACAGAAAGAGACAGAGAGAATTATCTTCAAAGAAAAAGCTGCTAAACACCAGAATCAAAACAGTCACTAAAGGACAAATGTGCTCCCGGGAGAAACAAAGATCTCTTCAAAATGAATCATATAATGAAAAGATAATAATTCCAAAGAAAGGGGAAGTAGAATCCATACAAAATCAGAATTTAAAATATATATGACTAAGGAAGTCAGAAGAGAAGAAATAGTGAGTTAAGGTTATACAATTTTGAATTCTGACTCTCATTTGTAATAGTTTAGTGAATTTATAAAGAGAGGCCTATTTTTCTTGGCTATTATATCAGCTCTGTCACATTTCTTTCTTTAGATCTCCCATGATGTTCTTTATCTTATAGAATTGAAACTGAAGGAGAGCCCAAGAACATTTTCTCTTTTCCCCAGTAGTTTAAAATCGTTTTTAAAGAACAATTTTCTAGAATCACAAATGCTTGGAAGAAGCCTCTAAAAAGAAGCTCAAGCAACTCAAGTACTTTAGCATAAAAAACAATGTCAAATATATAAAAGTATAAGCTAATCTTCTACCAGGGAGGAGAATATGACATACAGGATAAAGAATACAACCAGACAAAAGCAAAAAAACTAAAATGAAGTCAGATTAGAAGTTAATATTTCCCTTTTCTTTATTTGTCAGATCAAGTCAATTCTCTGTCTGATTCCAGAAATTTAATAAAATTCAGAACAACTAAGAATAATTTCCTTTGGGAGAGAAAACCATCCAGCAAGAACATAGCTAGCAAAGGACCTATGCCTTAGTTCCAAGGTTTGGCACTTACAATATACACACAATATACACAGTTCTAATCACATAATGCTAATGATAAGGAAGGAGCTCACTCTATTTCCTAACAGTGACAATATCAGTTATTTATTGATTCCTGGTGAAATAGCCTACAATATTTTCCTTTCACACCATTGGAAAGAATTGTAATTACGTGGAAATCTGTGATAATGTATTAAGAATCTCATGTCGCTACTCTACAGAGCACTTAGAATGGAGTAACATTACTCCATACATGGCAATTAGAGTGCAACTAATTAGTGTCACTTACTGTGAGAAGCAACTGATTAATTATGTTTAGACATTGCTGCTGAGAGAAAACTCAGAGTCTCCAGCTTCTAAATTGCATGCTCTGCCATTCAGCTAATAGAACATCTCTGCTAGCTTGATAGTTACTGGATATTTAATGCAGCCTCATTCTCTGGCTTATACAGGCACCCCTGAAGTTCTGCACTAATGCTATATTCATGAAACTACCGTATATCAAAATTACAGTGTACTTTTCCCTCTGTCACATTAGGAGCATAATTAGTGAGGCAGATGTGCAGCTACAAACTTCTAGGCTCAACGCAGTGGGCAGTAATGTATTTCACTGTCATAGAAACAATATCCTGGCACCTCCAGCACTTGGGCAACTTTCTTCAATTTGGAAAATGACAATTGCTCAAGGATTCAAAGGAAAAGAGAGTGGTACCTTTGTCACCCTCTGCAAGCTACTGTGTCCAGAAGGCATTTTTAAAAGGGCCCACCACGACATACCAAATTTAGCCAAATTCTTATTTATCCTCAATTCTCCAGTCCTTCTTTCCCGAGATGAATCTGATGATTGCCCCCCCGCCCGTCATCATCTCCATGTTTATGCCACATCAGGGTGGGAAGTGAGGCCAGATGGTTATTTGAAAGTGTGTCAGCCTGCTTTGCAGCTGTTCTGAAATTTGCTCCTAAGGCTGCTAGGGAGAGAACCCATACTCCATGTCTGCTCCATTCAGGGTCAGCAGAGGGAGAATCCACGACAAGCATTTATTCCTTCTTACAAATCTGCCAAATCCTGCTCAGAAAGCATGGAAGCATCCCAGAAGTGTTATGAAAAACAACCTATAATGATGAACAGAGCCTGGCCCACTGGACTTATGGAGAGGTGGGGCCTCATTGGCCTGAATTTCTGGGTTGATAACAAGTCAACTAGTATAACCTCTCTTCATTCTTCCTGTTTCTCCCTCTGCCACTGCCCAATTCCAGGCTTTTATTAGCTTCCATCTGCACTACCCATTTTTTAGGTCAGTCATCTCATACTTTAATATGTTAATGAATAAGCTGTGCATTTTGTTAAAAGGCAGATTCCAATTCCATAGGTTTTGTGTTTGGCTCAAGAGTCTTTATTTCTACTGAGCATCCAGATCCCCTCGATGCTGCTGTTGACCAACCACATTTTGAGTAGCAGGTAACTAAGTGATTGCCTTGTGTTCAGTTTCTCCCCTTCTAAAACACCCTTTCATATTGCATTTAGAATTATTTCTCTAAAGTGACATGTCATGAAATGTGCCCCTGGGATTTTCTGTAACAGAATCATCTGGATCTCCTATCAAACCTGATTCATCATTACTTCTCACTGTAAGGTCCCCATATCTGCATTTTTAAGAATCACCCCTATGGTTCTTATGGGAATTACTACTGTAAAGCTAAGTCGAAATCAGGTTGATTTTTCTACCTCAAGCCTTTTTAATATTCTCTTACTGACTTTTAAATAAAATTCCAAATTGGTTACCCTGGGATTTAACTTCCTGCATTATCTTTTCCCCATGCCTTCCTCTATGGTTTCAAATATCTAGGAGAGAAAACAGACATAATCAATATGATAGTGACAAGTGCTGTCATTACTGAAGCCCTATTTATATCTCACTTAACCTATTGAAATCTCACCATTTATGTGCAATAAACATAATTGATTTCATTTTATATTTTAACCCTTTGAAGTAAGTAATATTTTTTCATTTTATAGATGGCAAATATGAACATCAGAGATGGAGCTAGGTTTATAAGTGTGATGAACTCAAAAGCTCATGTTATTTTTAGTCTTCCATGTTGCCAAGCCTTGAATGTCACTCCAATTTGCTTTATAAATGTTCCATTTTCAAATAATTGTTTACACAGAAATTGATTGTCATGGGGCCTCTCCATTTTTTTCTGTTACCAAAAATATATGATTATTTCTAGTGCATGAACTGAACATTGAAATTTTGTGCTAGACAAAAGTCCCAAAGTTTTTGCTGTGCTGATGAAATGAAATGTTTCTACTTCACTCTTTTACTTTCTAAAGTTCTATTAAATTTTAGTTACACTATTCTGTATCTCCGAATAGCTCTCTAAGACTAGTTGCAATAAATCATTCTACAAAAATATGCAGTCCATATATTTATCATAAAAATTTAAAACCATCTGTACATTGTTTGTCTAACACAGAACGTATTTATTTGTATATTTCATGTACATTCTGTTGTCTTAGAATATCAACTAATCATAAAGAGCCATTGATGAACTTGAAGTAGTATTTAGTGTTGTTTACAAAAGACATTACTGGAAAAATGTAAAAACTATTAAACTGAGACATGAGACTGAATTTGGCCTTTTTTTACATTAACACCTTGTAAATGGAGTGTATAAATCAATCATCAAATAGCATGTATTAAGAATCCACAAGCATATGGTGCTATCTGAGGCACTGCATAAATAAAACAGACACATCTCCGTGATCGCCATTCCTAAAATGGAAACTGTGATATGGCAGAGACTGCACAAGAATAGTTGTGTATCTCTTAGTGTGATTGTTCCATTTATCATGTGAAAGATTAAGAAAACCATTAATTTCTGTGTGATGGGGGATTGGGAGATTCGAATACATTATTTTCTACTTCTGAAGTACTCTTGGAAAATACAAATGACCTAATATTAACTGAATATCATCAGCATCAAGCTAAGGATTTTGAATAGTCAGTTAGTGCTCTGTTTTGATTTTCAGCATAGATTAAGCAAAGCAAATCAATCAATAAGAACATCTTAATTGAATTCTTTAACATCACATGAGTAAAACCAAAGCTTTTTTTGTTTTAAATCAAGAGGACATTGTTCTCTCAGGTATTTTAATGACAAGTATGATCAAATAAGACAGAGCCCATATGTGAATGTCTGTACAGCAAAAATTATAAGTAATATATAACATCATATACCACATGGGGAACAGACGTAAATTAATAGTAACAACAGCAAGAAGAAGAAGAATGACAATAACCAGAAGAGCAGTTACTATACTACTGTTATGATTTCTGGTTTAAATTATTTTCCATCCTCTTATTAGCCATGTGGTATAGCACAATAAGTGCTGAGAGGCAATATGCTCATTTCCTAAAATATTATGCTGCTCCTCACAGCTCTAATATTCCATATTTTTCCATGGGATCCTCCAATCTATCACCATAGTAAAAAAGAAAAAAAGTGCGTTTAAGCTGCTTTAAACTTTCCCGGTAAAAATTTTTTTAGACACTAGACCAATGCCTTAGACTCAAAGTTTTCTTATTCAGAAACATATAGAATGGTCTCGTGTGGCTATTTGCTCTATAATAGAGTGTATTTTCCCTAGAAATGGAAAAATTGATTAGCTTCAAAATTTTCAATTATTACACTCAAAAGTTCAAATATGTTGATTGAAATGGCATTAAATATTATAGATTCAAGCCCGTTAAGATTCTCTGCTATCCAGAATAAGCTATGGGAACAGGTTACCTGGGCATGCACAGTTACCTTCTTTGGAGAATACCTACCCCCTCTCCTTCGGTTCCAGATCTAGCTATTTTTGTAAGTCATTCCCGATCATTAGGAATGTGTCTGTCATGTCACTGGCAGAGGTGGCCCAGCCCCATCATTTCTTTTTATTCAAAGTGGTGGATTTCCTCCGGGCAAAGCTATTAAATTTCATAAACCAATGAAAAATATTGACGTATTCAAAACAATATTACCAATTTCTTTTATTCTAACCATGTGTGCTCTGTTGAAGCCAGGTAATCCCTCTGCCCCCTAAACACCCAATTTATAGAAGGACATTTATCAATTCATCTCTAAATCTTCAATTTTTCTCTTCCTTCCCTTCGTCACTTCCTTCCTTCCTTGCTTCTTTCCTTTCTCCTTTGTATCAATTCATATTTCCTTCAGGTTCTAAATACCTTATGACTTCTTTCCG